>NC_000023.11:15773851-16076881 GCF_000001405.40 Homo sapiens | reverse complement strand
TTAGTCCTGGATTCGAGAATCCTTTTAGGTTTCTCCAGCTGCCTCAAGGTATATCATGAAAGCTTTTATAAATTCGCAAATGAAATAATGAAATAAATTTTGGTTCAACCTAAACTCGGATGTGTTCATTTTGAAGGTAGTGACATCCATTGACATAAATAAAAATATGGTGGAAAAAGTAAATGACAAAAAAAATCCTGCTTTTTCCTCTGCAGTAGAAGTAGATACTAATCTATTAAAGATTTAGTGGACTCAAAATAAAAAACAAAGAAAACCATAAACAATAAACTTTCTCTACATACACACACACACACACACACACACACACACATATATATTTGGATGTTGACGTTCTAACCCTCAATGGACTACAGCTGTTTAAACTGAGGCATGATGTTGTAATCATACTGACAAAATGGAAGGAATGAACTTATAATGAGATTGCAGTTGTCAAAAATAATTAGAAATAGAAAAACATTTTTAAATATTAAATAGTATTCCAAACGTTAAATATCTGAGCAATAGGTGGGCATGGCGAGTCTCCCTCAGTATCTCAGATTGTGATGTAAACAGCCTTAACTTCAAGCGATTTTTGCTTTTACTAGAAATATAAAAAGGTCAATATTAAACAGTCTCTTTTATCTTGATCCTATGCAATATGAAACACCCCTAAGGCTTACCTACAAGCCTAAGGTATATATTAAAATAACGCATAGATGAAACAGATTTATCATAGCATCCCATTGTACCCGAGTTATATATATATATAATATATACATATATGCGTGTATATGTGTATGTGTGTAAAACATGTGGCCCAAGAAGAACCTGACTTCCGCTGAATTTTGCTTCTTGCAAGATTTCATCACACTAGTATCCTTAAATCAACATTTCTACTTAAATTGTCATTTTCCAGCCTTCTTCCAGAGAATATTTTGGGGTACTGGGAGAGGAAAAAAATTGTTTTTGCAAGATAAAAACATTGGCATTTTCAACCACCAAATAAAAGGTGATAGAATTTTCATTAGTTAATATTTTCAAAATGTTCAATATTTGTGTGAACTCAGTGAGGATGTTAAACCAGAATAAGATAATTACACAGCCAGAAGATCCAAGGTCAGCAGGACCTCATTACAAACTCATGAATAGCTCCAGATATGTGATTCAGGCCTCCCATGTCCAAACAATAACTGAAAGATGATGTATCAAATTAAAAGTGGACACACATTTTGTCCACTGTTTCCATTTAGAAATATAGTCTATTTCTCCACTCCCTTGGATCTGGGCTAGGCTGGAATTGCTTTAACAACAGAATGCAGCAGAAATGAAACTGTATCCATTCCAGACTTAACCCTTTAAGAGGCCTGACAGTGTCTACTTTCTCTCTTGGAAACCAGCTGCCATGTAAGAAGTGTGACCACCCTGAGCCAAACATGCTCTGATAATCTCAAGCCATGTGGAAAGGCCCCAAAGGATTAGACATGTATGGAAAGAGCTCAGTGAGCCCTAAGACATCAGATATGTGAGTGAAGAAGCCATCTTGGAAGAGAACTCTGCTCTCCAACTGCCACCTGCTTTCTGCCTCAGCCAGGAACACATGGAGCAGAAAGGAGCTGTCCATCTAAGCCATCTGAATTCCTGACCTATTAAATCATAATCAAAATAAAATTGTTGTCTTAAACCTCTAAGTTTTAGAGTGGTTTACCAAAACAGATAAACTAATAGATGACTCATCTTTCATGATTGAGAGCTCATCTTAAAAATAACTTTTAAAACGAGGAAAAATTGCACACAAATTGGATTCTCCCCTTGTAAAGTAGTAAATGAATACCAGGAGAATTATTGCACTGTTAGCTAAACTCAACTTTATTTTTCCTTATCTAGTCTAATCCACTATATGAAGACACTAGATTTTAGCCCCTAGAACAGAACATATTGCCAATGCTCTGCTATATATAGGGGCAGCTGACAGCAGCACAGGAGAGAAAAGCAACATCCCCGAGGGGGCACTTAAAGGTTTCATCTTCTAAAATGAAAAGGAAAAGCAACATGATATTTTACCTCCTTGTATACTTTTTTAAGTGATAAAAAGAAAAGAGTATATAGATAGTTTCAGAATTATGTAACTTCAGAGACTGTCTATGGAATCGGGGCAGGGGGACCTTGTGGATGACTGTAGCAAATGAAGTAACTGATTTTTTTTTAACAATATTTATTAAGCATTGGCCTTGTACCAGAAATCTGGAGACACACAGAGAAAAGCCCTCATCCCTGCCTTCAGAGAGTTTATCCACTAGGTGAAGAGATAGGCAGGTAAACAATTACATCACTATGTGAAAAATCCAAAAACCAAAGTGTGAACCTGGTGAAGCAAGTCCAAAAAGAAGAGAGCCTAGTGTCAATTATATTAGGTTGAATTATATGAAGTTGCCAATGTTTGACCAACTTTGGTCTATAGACATGATAATTTCTTATGGTTTCATCTGCTAGTTTAGAATATCTAGGACATGATGTGAACAGGGAGAATGTTGGACCATGAGGTTGGAGAGATAAACAGGGCCATTTCAGATTCTAAAACAAAAACAAAAACCAAGCCTCGGTGAATGCCAAATTAATGAGATTACTTTTTATACCGGAGAAGACATTAAATCTTTTAAGCAGAGGAATAATACTAGGAACTTTTCATCTTGGAAAGACAGCCCTTTATTGTAGTTCACTTAAAACAAAAAGAGTCTTTGCTTTTGAGAGATATATTCTGAAATGTTTATGGATGTAAGGATACAATGTCTGTGATCAGCTTCAAAATAAGACAGTAGATAGGGGAAGCTGGTGGAAGTAGAGATGAAACAAGATTGGTCATGAGTTGATAACTGTTGAAGCTGGGGAAATAGGTACATGGAGGTTCATTATACATTCTGTCTTCTTTTGAATATGTTTTAAATATGTTTTGTCATAAAAAATAAAAACAAATACACACATACACAAAACAGAAAAGGAAGAAGAAAAAGAGAAAGAAAGGAAGAAGGAAGGAAGGAAGGAAGGAAGAAAAAAGAAAGAAAGAAAGAAAAAAGAGAAAGAAAGAAAGAAGAAAGAAAAAGAAAGACAGAACTTTGCTGCAGTGTGGGATCAATTGTGTGTGTGTAGTGGTCATATTAGTTTCCTAGGGCTGCCGTAACAAATTACCACAAACTTGGTGGTTTAAAACAAATTCATTGTCTCACAATTCTAAAGACCAAAAGTCCAAAACCAAGATGACAACAGGGCCACACTCACTCCAAAGGTTCTAGGAGAAAATCCTTCCTTGTCTCTTCCAGCTTCTGGTGGCTCCCAGCATTCCTTGGCTTGTAGACGTATCACTTCAACCTCTGCCTCCATCTTCACATTATCTTCTCTGTGTTTCTATATCCTCTTATAAAGACACCAGTCATTGGACTTAAGACCCACCCAAAATCCAGTATAATATAATCTCATGATCCTAACTACTTACATGTGCAAAACCTCATTTCCAAATGAGGTCACATTCTGAAGTTCCAGGTGGATATAAATTTTGGGGGGACACTATTCAACCCCTACAGGGGTGTTGATTGGGAGTAAAAAGTAATACTGAAGATGGGGAGAAAATTAGAAACAAAAACATAAAGTAATGAGGTTCAGAAATGAAGAAAGCCAAAACTAAGGTATTGCCTGGAAGGATTCAGTTGAGTTACACGTGTAGTAGGTTGGTGCAAAAGTAATTGCGGTTTTTGCCATTAAAAGTAATCACAAAAACCTCAATTATATCCTCAAGAGAATATAACAATTTAAAATGTATATGTACCTGACACTGGAACAACCAGATATATAAAGCAAATATTATTAGAGCTGAAGATAGATATAGACTCCAATACAATAATAGCTAGAGACTTCAACACTCTACTTTCAGCATTGGACTGCTCTTCCAGACAGAAAATCAACAAAGAAACATCAAACTTAATCTGCACTATAGACCAAATGAACCTAATAAGTATTTATAAAACATTTCATCCAATGGCTGCAGAATTCACCTTCTTCTCCTCAGTACATGGATCATTCTCAAGGACAGATCATATGTTATGTCACAAAACAAGTCTTAAAATATTCAAAACAATTAAAAGAATATCAAGCATCTTCTCTGACCATAATGGAATAAAACTAGAAATTGATAACAAGAGGAATTTTGGAAACCACACAAATACATGGAAATTAAACAACATGCTGCTGCATGACCAGTGGGTCAATGACAAAATTAAGAATAAAATGGAAACATTTCTTGAAACAAATGATAACAGAAACACAATAGACAAAAACCTATGGTATGCAGCAAAAGCAGTACTAAGAGGGAAGTTTATAGGTATAATTGCCTACATCAAAAAAGAAGAAAATATTCAAATAAACAATATAATGATGCATGTTAAAGAACTAGAAAAGCAAGAGCAAACCAAATCCAATATTAGTAGAAAAAAAGAAATAATAAATATCAAAGCAGAAATGAATGAAATTGAAATGAAGAAAACAATAGAAAAGATCAATGAAACAAAAAGTTGTTTTTTTGAAAAATTAAGCAAAATTGACAAACCTTTAGCCTAAGAAAAAAACTGAGAAGACCCAAATAAATAAAATCTCTGATCTTCTAGATTTTCCAACTTGTTGGCATATAGTTGCTCATAGTAGCCACTAATGATCCTTTGAATTTCTGCTGTTTCAGTTGTAATGTCCCCTTTTTTACAGCCTATCAATATTGAACCAGGAAGAAATCCAAAACTTGAACAGACCAATAACAAGTAACAAGATCAAAGCCATAAAAAAGGCTCCCAGTAAAGAAAAGCCCAGGACCCAATGGCTTCACTGCTGAATTCTACCAAACATTTAGAGAATAACTCATACCAATCCTACTCAAACTGTTCTGAAAAATAGATGAGGAGGGAATACTTCTAAACTCATTCTATAAGGCCAGATATCAAAACCAGACAGACAGACGTATACAGAGATGTTAGCCTGTAGAAAACTACAGGCTAATATCTCTGATGAATACTGATACAAAAATCCTCAACAAAATACTAGCAAACCAAATTCAAAAATACACTAAAAAAATCATTCCTCATGACCAAGTTGGATTTATCCCAGGGATGCAAGGATGGTTCAACATACACAAATCAATGTGATACATCATATCAACAGGATGAAGGACAAAAACCATATGATCATTTCAATTGATGCTAAAAATCATTTGATAAAATTTAACATCCTCTCATGATAAAAACTCTCAAAAAACTAGGTAGGGAAGGAACACACCTCAACATAGTAAAAGCCATATATGACAGACCCATAGCTCATATCATACTGAATGGGGAAAAACTGAAAGCCTTTCCTCTAAGATGTGTAACATGACAAGGATGCCCACTTTCACCACTATTATTCAACATAGCACTGGAAGTCCTGGCTAGAGCAAAGAGATAAGAGAAATAAATAAAGGGCATCCAAATTGGAAAGAAAAAAGTCAAATGACCCTTGTTTGCCAATGATATGATCTTATATTTGGAAAAACCTAGACTCCACCAAAAAACTATTAGAACTGATAAAAAAATTCAGTAAAGTTGCAGAATACAAAACCAACATACAAAAATCAGTAGCATTTCTATATGCCAACAGTGAACAATCTGAAAAAGAAATTTTAAAAAGTAATCCCATTTAAAATAGCCACAAATAAAATTAGATACGTAGGAATTAACCTAAGATGTAAAAGTTCTCTATAATTAAAACTATAAAACACTGATGAAAGGAATTGAAGAAGAAACCAAAAATTGGAAATATGTTCCATGTTCATGGTTTGGAAGAATCGATATTGTTAAAATGCCTGTACTACCCAAAGCAATCTACAGATTCAATGCTATCCCTATCAAAATACCAAAGATGTTCTTCACAGAACGAAAAAAATAATCCTGAAATTTATATGGAACCACAAAAGACCCAGAATGGCCAAAGCTATTGTAGGAAGAAAAAAAAAAAAAGAGGGGAGAATACAAAACAGCATGCTACTGGAATAAAAACAGACACACAGACCAATGAAACAATAGAGAACTCAGAAACAAATCCACACACCTACAGTGAACTAATTTTTGACAAAGATGCCAAGAACATACACTGGGTAAAAGATAGTCTCTTCAATATATGGTGCTGGGAAAGCTGGATATCCATATGCAGAAGAGTGAAACTAAACCCTATCTCTCACCATATACAAAAATCAAATAAAAATAGATTAAATACTTAAATCTAAGACCTCAAACTATGAAACTACTACAAGTAAACATTGAGAAAACTCTCCAGAACACTGGTCTGGGCAAAAATTTCTTGAGTAACACCCCGTGAGCACAGGCAATCAAAAAAAAAAAAAAAGGACAAATAGGGTCACATCAGATTAAAAAGCTTTTGCACAGCAAAGGAAACAATGAACAAAGTCAACAGACAACCCACAGAATGGGAGAAAATATTTGCAAAGTACCCATCTGACAAAGGATTAATAACCAGAATATATAAGGAGTTCAAACAACTCTATAGGAAAAAATCTAATAATCCCATCAAAAAATGGGCAAAACATTTGAATAGACATTTCACAAGAATAGACTTCTCCAAGGAAGACATACCAATGGCAAACAGGCATATGAAAAGGTGCTCAATAACATTGATCATCAGAGAAATGCAAATCAAAACTACAATGAGATATTATTTCACTCAAGTTAAAATGGCTTACATCCATAGACAGGCAATAGCAAATGACGGCAAGGATGTGGATAAAAGGGAACCCTCATACACTGTTGGTGGGAATGTAGATTAGTACAACCACTACGGAGAATAGTTTGGAGATTCCTCATAAAACTGAAAATAGACCTACCGTATGACCCAGCAATCCCTCTGCTGAGTATATACCCCCCAAAAAAAGGATATCAGTTTATTGAAGAGATATCTGCACTCCCACATTTGTTACAGCTCTGTTCACAATAGCCAAGATTTGGAAGCAACCTAAGTGTCCATCAACAGATAAATAGATAAAGAAAATTTGGTGCTTATACACAATGGAGTAATATTTGCCCATAAAAAAGAATGCGATCCTGTCACTTGCAACAAAATGGATGGAACTGGAGATCAATATGTTAAGTGAAATAAGCCAGGCACAGAAAGACAAACATCACATGTTCTCACTTATTTGTAGGATTTAAAAATCAAAACAACTGAACTCATGGACATAGAGAGTAGAAGGATGGATACTAGCAGCTGGAAAGGGTAATGGGGAATTGGGGGGTGGTGGCAATGGTTAATGGGTACAAAAAATAGTTAGAATGAATGAGACCTACTATTTGACAGCACAACAGGGTGACTATAGTCAATAGTAATTTAATTGTACATTTAAAAATGACTAAAAAAGTATAATTGGATTGCTTTAACACTAAGGAGGATGCTTGAGGGGAAGGATACCCCATTCTACATGATGTGATTATTATGCATTGCATGCCTGTATCAAAGTATCTCATGTACCCCAGAAATAAATACACCTATGTAGCCACAAAAATTAAAATTTTAAAAATTAAAACTTTAAAAAACTGCATGTTTTCACTTACAAGTGAGAGCTAAACAATGGATACACATGGACATACAGAGTGGAATAATAGACACTGGAAACTCCAGAAGGTGAGAGTGTAGGAGAGGGGTGAGAAATGAGAAATTACCTAATGGATATATTGTATATACTATTCAGGTGATTGTTACATTAAAAGGCCAGATTTCACCACTACACAGTATATTCATGTAACAAAACTACACTTGTACCTCCTAAATTTATTTTTTTTACTAGGGTGGGGCCCGAATCCAATATGACTGGTGTCCTTATAAAAAGGGGCCTGCATGCACAGAGGGATGACCATGTGAACAGGGTAGCCATCTATAAATCAAGTATAGAAGTCTCAGAGGAAACCAACCCTGCTGGCACCTTGATCTGGAGCTTCCTGGAACCAAAACTGTTAGAAAATAAATTTCTGTTGTTTAAGCCAATAATAATCATAATTTTAAACAAAGGACTCTGCATTGCCATAATTTAGCCAGTCCTGCTCTTATACACCAGGAAGAAAAATTAACTTTCCATTTTACATTCATAACACCTTCAATCCACACATAATGTTTGACAGAAAGAAAACTTAAATGGCCTTTTTCCTATGTATAGTTTCACAGAAACATTTCCTGTATTCTTTCATCTCTTGAGTTTGATTTGTTTGAAGAAAATTAAAAGGATGAAAGCTCTTTAAATTATGTCAGGTTTCTGGAATCTCCAAATTGGTACAAAGAAAACAGTAGTGTCACAGATACTCAAATATAAATATGAAAAGGTATTTTTATCCTCTTACTGGAAATATAAAAATACTTGATTCATAAAGATTATCTTAATAAATATTTTTAGTGTTATGAAAGTATTACAAATTTAAAACCAAGTCTAATCATATAATATTTGCATAGTTATAAATAACTTATTTAGTGGTCAAAATGCAAATACATACTCTCAAAATACTAAATTAAACACTCCCTAGGAATCAATCCTGCTATTCACATAGAAGGCAAGTGTGTGCTGGTTTGAACACTTCAGTACTCTACTGATACTATTTGACACACAGGAGGATCGATCAGTTGATTTGCTTGCCCAGCAAACAAGTGTGAACAACAATTGGCTCTATCTTAGAGGAAGAGGGAAAAGTTGCTGATGTGCCACAGGCATTGCCTAAGAGCAGAAGCAAGGTTTCAGTGGTCTGTCTTTGCTTTCTAAATCACATAGGCCAGTTTCCAGGACCTTACAATTAGATATTCAAAAGTAAGCAAACAACTGCATTGTTTAAAAAGAGAAAGGAGGCTGCTGTCTTATTTACAATGGGGATAAAACACTGTTGTTTTGAAGAAAGCATATTTACATACAGTGAACCAACCCACTTTTTTTTTCAATTTCTTTTTTTATTATACTCTAAGTTCTAGGGTACATGTGCACAACATGCAGGTTTGTTACATAGGTATACATGTGCCATATTGGTTTTCTGCATCTATCAACTCGTCACTTACATTGGGTATTTCTCCTAATGCCATCCCTCCCCCAGGCCCCCACCCCCCAATAGGCCCTGGTGTGTGATGTTCCCCACCCTGTGTCCATATGTTCCCATTGTTCAACTCCTACCTACGAGTGAGAACGTGCAAACCAACCCACTTTTATGTAAGTAGCTTACAAGTCAAAGAAAGCCAAAACAATATGACTTCAATAGTGTTGTACTTACTAATAACTAATAACTGTTACTAATACTAACAAAAGTTGTTTAAAGTCTAATTTCTGCAGTCAGATATGCCAATATTTGTTAGTGGTGTAGCTCCACAAATGTTATTCCAAGATTCACCCTGCTTATTTATGTCCAAAAGAATAGTCTAAGCTAATTACAGACATTATATATAGAAATATACATATGTATTAACGCACAGATACATGCATATATATATATATACTCAGTACATAAAACATACATTCATATGTATGCACACACATAGTAGCCATGAATACTTTTGTTTTTCCTATGTTACATAAAAAGCATTGCTTAGTCATGGCTGCAGTTTCTTCATAATTTTAATGTGCCACTATTTGTCATATGCATATCTGCTATGGTTTGAATGTTTGTACCCTCCAAAACCCATCTTGAAACTTAATCCCTAATGTAACAGTAGTAAGACGTGGGGCTTTTAAGAGGTGATTAAGTCATTAAGATGGATAAATATCACTCTCATGAGATTGGGTTAATTTTTGAGGGAGTGAGTTCTCACTCTCTCAGGATGGGATTGGTTGGTTACTTCAAGAGTGGGTTGTTATAAAGTGAGCCTGCCCTCATGTTTTGTCTCTTTCACACACACTCGCTTGCCCTTTCACTTTTCCACCATGTTACGATGCAATATGAAAGCCCTTGCCAGAAACTGCCACCATGCCTTTTGTCTTCCCAGCCTCCAAAACTGTCCAAAATAATTTTCTTTTGTTTTAAAAAAATAAACTACTCAGTCTTAGATATTCAGTTACAGCAGCAGAAAACAGACTAAGACAATATCCAAGTAAAATTTCTAAAGCTTATGTGAGTGTTTCCCGTCTTCCTATTCCAGAATTTTCACCACATACCTTAAAGATGTTAACTCTTTGTGAAACCACAAATAGTATCCATTAACTGATGAAACCACAAATAGTATCCATTAACCGAAAGCCTTTAGCTGACACAGGATAAGGAGGAAGGACTTTCAGCAAATGGATTTGAATTGGTCAGTAAATATTTAAAACTTTAAAAAATATTGGAGCACTTAGGCCGGGCACGTTGGCTCATGCCTGTAATCCCAGCACTTTGGGAGGCCGAGGCGGGCGGATCACGAGGTCAGGAGATCGAGACCATCCTGGCTAACACAGTGAAACCCCATCTCTACTAAAAATACAAAAAATTAGCCAGGCGTGGTGGCGGGCGCCTGTAGTCCCAGCTACTCAGGAGGCTGAGGCAGGAGAATGGCGTGAACCTAGGAGGCGGAGGTTGCAGTGAGCTGAGATTGCGCCACTGCACTCCAGCCTGGGTGACAGAGCGAGACTCCGTCTCAAAAAAACAAAACAAAAACAAACAAACAAAAAAAAGGCCGGGCACAGTGGCTCACGCCTGTAATCCCAGCACTTTGGGAGGCCGAGGTGGGTGGATCATCTGAGGTCAGGAGTTCGAGACCAGCCTGACCAACATGGAGAAACCCCGTCTCTACTAAAACTACAAAAAAAATTAGCCAGGCATGGTGGCACATGTCTGTAATCCCAGCTACTTCGGAGGCTGAGGCAGGAGAATTGCTTGAACCTGGGAGGCGAAGGTTGCGGTGAGCTGAGATTGCACCATTGCACTCCAGCCTGGGCAACAAGAGCAAAACTCCGTCTCAAAAAAAAAAAAAAAAAAATTTGAGCACTTATGTCTTGATATGGATTCATCTCATCATTCATTTTAGAAATTCAAGTTTCTCTGTATCTCATGACTGGCTATTCTGACTATAGGACTTTTAACTTGCAGGAATAAAATGGGTAAAAATGAGCACCTTCTAACCCGAGTAATTGTGGGGAGTACTTGTTTTCTGAAAAGTCGTTTTTTATCTAGCCTTCATTCATCTACATTTTCCATTAGCAGCTACAGTACACTGTTCTTATTATAAAGACACGTACCTTCTGACTCTTAAAAAAATACATTTTACTTTACTGTTTTAGTCACTAGTATTTTATTAGGTTATAGGTTTTGAAAATTACTACTCCACGTGTAACATGCCAGGATTCTTGATAAAGTAGCACACATTTGCTAATCATGTCAAATAAAGAAGCATTTTATTTCCATAAGAAATTACACAAGACAAATATTTATTTTTATCATTTATGATCAAGGATAAAGTTACATAGGCTAATTTATTTATTTATTTATTTATTTTGCTGCCTCTGGCTCAAAATTAATTTTAGTGGATTGGGAGTTATATCACATAGAGGAGGAAAATACCTTTCCTTCTACCCATCTTAGGTTCATTGCTGGGGCCCCTGTAACAAAATAAATAAATAAATAAAAAATAAAAAGATTAAGAGAAAAGCATAGAAATTTATTTAATATAAGTTTGATGTGACACAGGAGCCTTCATAAGGAAATAAATACCTGAAGAAAGAGTTAAACCCGAGTGTTTTTATAGTAGATTTGATGAAGAATTAAGAGTCATGAAGAAATATGATACAACAAAGGGTGGAGAGAGTGCGATAAATATTATAAATTGGGGGAAACCAAGCAAGGCCTGTTTGTTCAAATTCTTTTCTGTGTCTTCAGAGATAAGGATGCTCCTTTCCTCTGTGCATAATGCAGGCATATCTCATCTGAGAGTCTTATGACCTGCTTCAGGGGAAGGTCAGAAAATCCTTCCTAGGTTTTATGACCTGCTGTAATGGAGAAAGGCAGGAAAGAGTCAGAAAGCCCTTTCTATTTCTGCCATTTTCTCAAATTCCTTCAAATCAAAATATTCAATAAGCCAAGGTGCCATATTTTGGAGTGGTATGTCCTGAACCCCATTATCCATTTCTTGAAAAATATTTTTGAAACTTACTTATAGTTTCATAATCTATATGGAGAAAAATTTAAAACTCCAGAGCACAAAAACTTGGAATCAACTTAAAGAAGTATCTATTTTTTTAATGGAAAGATTCAATACCTTAAAAATATCCATTTTCCCTACCATCAGAAATTAAAGCATTATAAAGTGACTGCAATGAAAATAGTTCGATTCTGAAACTTAATAGAAAGATAGATCAATGCAACAAAATATAATATAGAAACAGAGTCAAATGATTTAGGAATTTAGTAAATCATAAGGGTAATATTTTATATCAGTGGAGAGAATATGGATTGTTCAATAAATGATACTAGAACAACAAAGCTCCTGTTTGGGGGAAAATACAATTAATTCATTTCTCACTCCCTACAACAAAAATAAATTGACGATGTATTAAAAATTAAATGTAATAAAAAGTAAAGCAAATATGCAGGAAAGCTGGAAGTTGTCTTTTATAAAAATACAATCTTGAGTAGGAATGGCTTTTGTAGTTAAGACACAAAACCCAGATGCTATAAAACACTGGCTCACAACCTTGGCTGTATGTTAGAATCATCTAAGGAACTTGCAAAAAGTTTCCATCCTTGGACTCCGCTCTGAACTAAATAAATCAGAACCTCTGGGGATGGGGCCCAAGTCTCTGTTATTGTTTTGTTTTTTTGTTCATTTGTTGGATTGATTGTTTTTTGTTTTATTTTTAATGCTCTCTGGATGATTCTGATGCACAGTTAGGCTTGAGAACAACTGCTATAAAATAAAACCTTCAGATTATCTCATATCATTCTGGAATCTGTCTCAGATATTCTTTGCCAAGAGTGGCCCAACTGCCATTTTTACTTTGTAGCTGCCACTTTGCACCCTTCTCTGTCTGAGGCTTGCTGTCTTCTTGGCCCTCATCCTTAAATACAAGACCCTCACTCTAAGAATGTCAAAAATCTTTTAAGAGTGCATCAATAGGTGGGCTGGCAAGAAACAGAGAGCATGCTCAAACTGGGTAATTTGAAAGGAGTTTAATAAAGAGATTGTATACAGATGGAACCATTGTTATCTTGATTGTGGTAGTGGTTCTGTGAATCTACACATGTGATAAAGGTTTATCTGACTATACTACAAAAAAAAGAGGGCATGTGAAAACTGGTGAAATCTGGGTAAGGTCTGTAATCTAGTCAATAGTATTGTGCCAATGTCAATTTCATTATTTTGATAATGTACTCTTAGGTATATAAGATGTTATCATTGGAGGAAGCTGAGTGAAGGGTACTTAGAACCTCTCTGTACTATTTTTGTAACTTGTTATGAGTCTATAATTATTTCAAAATATGAAGTTTTTTTTTTTTAAAAGAGACTGTATATGAAGATGTGAGTGGAGAGCAGGAAAATTACACAAGGAATGGTGTAGCAACCCATGACTCAACAACTGAGCCCAGTTTCCCACTCCTAGCCTGAAATAATGAGGATGAAACCGTTATTAGAAGAGAGAGAACACAAACTGTATGGAAAGGGCTATCTGACAGGTGCTGTGACCTTCAGACAAGGGGCGCCAAGGGATGTCAGTTGGGTCAAGACTCAAGACTTCAAGTTCATTGAATCTGTGTCCTAGTTCATTGTCTGAAATTGAGCAAAATTAGTTTAGGAGCTTTAAAGAAGTTGTAAAGTTTGGAACTGCCACTGGAAGAGAATTTAGGAAGCAAGGAAATTGGCTCACATGATTGCAGAGGCTGAGAAATCCCAAGACCTGCAGTCACCAAGCTGGAGACCCAAGAGAGTCAATGTATAGTTCTAGTCTGAATCCAAAGGCCCAAGAACTGGATGAGTTAATACTGTAGTTCAAGTCTGAAAGCTGGGAGGCTCAACATCCAAGAAGAGCAAATATTCCAGTTCAAGTTGGAAGACTAGGATAGACTGATATCCCAGCTCAAAGCAGTCAAGCAGGAAGAATTCCCTCTTATTAAAAGGAAGATTAGGGCCCTTTTTTTCTATTCAAGCCTTCAACTGACTGGGTAAGGACCACTCACATTAGGGAGAGCAATTTGTTTTACTCAGTGTACCAATTCAAATGTCAGTCTCATCCAAGAATACCCTTACAGACACACCTATGATAATGTTTGACTAGATATTTGAGCACCCAGTGGCCCAGTCAAGTTGCCACATAAAATTAACCATCACAATCATGAACATATGAAATTTTCTTACCAAGCAGCAACTCATCAAAATAGATACTTGAATGACCCATTACTTTGTCTCACTCATAGTGAGATACTATGAATAATAAAACTCTTGGATATTGTCTTTAGAAGAGTCAGATGATACTTTATGATAAATTTTTTTTCACTCACGCTGGCCATCCTTTCCACAAGAGCTAAAAGTTAACTGACTTCAAATATATTTTCCCTTGAGTAATAACGGAAATGTGCTCACTGGCTTGAGAAGCTCATCTATGCTTTGGGTTGGCCCCACTAGGACTGTACTCATACGTGCACATCACGTTCAATCAACAATCAATCTGATACAAACCATATAGTGCTCTTAATCCAAGAAGCAGTGATTCAGAGAGGTAATACTCTGGGCACTTATATTGCCTATGCTTTTGTAAGCCAAATGTTACTTAATTTTTTAGAAGAATGAATAGCTGACCTTGAATCTCATTGTGCATGCCATAAACTACAGCTAAGTTATAGCTTTTGATGCTACTGTCACTTTTGTACTGAAAAGGCTATTTGTTTCCTCTTGAATCCTCCATTGGCAGAGAAGGTAGGCTGAGACCATACACTTAAGATAAGCTCTTTGGTATAAAAAAAAGTTCAAGTGTCTGCTGTATGCAAAGAAAACACCCTTTTTCATGCATTTCTTCATTTAGTCAAACTACATTTATTGAGCACCTACTATGTGCCTAGAACCATGGTGCACTGATATCTGATATAAGAGCTCTTTAGGCAGGGGGAACAGCAGGTACCAGGAAGCCAGACTATGTAGGACTCCCCAGTAGCCCACGAGTATTCAAAGTGAGATAAATAATCATATTCAATAATCTTTTTACCAAAAAAGAGTTTTTTATTTTAAAAGCAAAAAAAAACCCATTAAGCTATTTTTAAAGATAATAGATATTTAAGGAAATTTTCAAATGAGCCAAAGAAACAGTTTCTATTTGTGTCAGACACATCCTAAGGTAACTCCCAATGAGTCACACCCTTGTATAATTCCCGCTAACCCCTTGAGTGTGGGTGGGAATTGTGAATTGCTTCCAATCAACTAAATATGAAAAATGTGCCAAGATGTCGCTCTCATGACTGACTAGCTTATATAAGATTCCTTATATAAGATGACCTTACCTTACGTAAGATTCCCTCTTAGCAGACTGGGGAGAGACACTCTCCTGCTGGCCTTGAAGGTGCAAACAGTGGTGTTGCAAACTGCCTGTGGAGAGGGCCATGTGGCAGGAAACTGTGGGAGGCCTCTAGAAACTGAAGGCAGTCTCCAGCTGACAGCTACTAAGAAGCTAAGGGACTCAGTCCTGCAACCAAAAAGTCCTGAATTCTGCCAACAATTTACAAGAGCTTGGAATAGGACCCAAGTTCCAGATGAGACTGAAGCCCCAGCTGGCACCTATGCAGCCCAGTGAGACTCTAAGAAGAGAACTTAGCTAGGTAGTACCTGGACTCCTGACCCACGGAAACTGGGAAATAATAAATGTGGGTCGTTTTAAGCCATTGTGATTGTGGTATTTTGTTATGCAGCAATGAAAAATTAATACACAATCTAACCCTAGTTTTCTCCTTAAACTTAAAGAAAATACTTTTTCCCCCGCAACTTTCCTGGAGCCAGTTCTGTCTCGGGGCTTGTTAACAAGCTCAGGAACATTGGCCAGTTCAACATCAAGAAACTCTTTTGGCTTCTTATAAACCCCAAGTTTCCTGGTGAACATTCCTACCACCACAGAAATGTTTTCATCAGGAACATTGATGAGGAAAGTAGGAGATTCTGTATCTAGGTTTCAGCATTCTTCTGTCAGAATTTTTTTTTTAATTTCCTGCCTTCATGCTCTCTGCTTTTATGGCTTTTTTGGTTTTCCTGGAGGCAAATAATGTCTGAAATAACCTATGCTAATGCTAAGTAAATAGACCTGTGCTATTCATTTTCATTGAAGACTGGCGTTTATCTAACACAGTATTTGACATAGAACAGACACATAATAGCCCCACTGTGAAGCACAGAGTTTTCTAAGAGGTAAAAACACAGATAAATCAGGTTGTCCATAAATCATATGCTGAAGTGACAGTCCAGCCAAAGGGAGGAACTGTGGAGGATCAAGACTGTAAAAACGAAACAGAACATGAGGGGATGTAGTGGACACTGTTGGTGCCCTTCCCAGATGCCCTGAAACTGGATGGGGCATCAGTCCTCTAGCTGTAGTGATTCTGAGTTGCTAATAGGTCACAGCTGCCACCTTCCAGGATCATTTTTGGTCAGGAGAGAACTGACTTACCAAGGAGGTTTTTACACTCAAACATACACACACACACACACACACACACACACACACAGACATGAGCAAAGGAGGCAGCTCACAGCTGACAATTGTCTGTTGACTGACACGGATATAAAAAAACGATCAACCTCTTTGCCTCCATATGGAACCACACTGTGGTGCTTGCCATTCATTCTCCATAGTTCACCATCTGATGAGGCTGAGGCTGGTCCTTAGCTATGACTACACTTAGCTTTTTCCTGCTTTTTTCACTCACCTTCTCCTGTGAGTATTCCATCACAAAACACCTTGCACAAGAATCACCATCTGAGATTCAGCTTCCAGGGAACCCAATCTACGACAGAGTTACTTTTTGGATGCTGGCAACGCACGATTACTTTTTCTTTTAACAGCTTTATAATATATAATTCACATGCCATACAATTCATATATTCAAAGTGGACAATTCAGTATTTTTCAGCATATTCATAGGGTTGTGCAAACATCATCACAACCTCACTTAATCTCACTTTAGAACATTTTCTTGGCTGGGTGCAGTGGCTCATGCCTGTAATCTCAGCATTTTGAGAGGCTGAGGCAGGAAGATCCCTTGAGCTCAGGAGTTTGAGACCAGCCTGGGTAACATAGCAAGACCTTGTCTCTACTGAAATTCAAAACAAATTAGCCAGGCTTGGTGGTGCACACTTGTAGTCCCAGCTACTTTGGGGGCTTACATGAAAGGACTGCTTGAGCCCAGGAAGTTGAGGCTGCAGTGACCCTTGATCTTGCCACTACACTCCAACCTGGACAACAGAGGAGACCCTATCTCTAAATATATATACATTTTTGTCCTCCCTAAAAGAAACCTGGTGCCCAGTAGCTGTCACTTCCTATTCCCCACCACTCCTCCCCAACCAGCTCTAAGCAACTGCTGATCTACTTTGTATTTCTATGGACTTGTCTATTCTGGACATTTAATACAAATGGAATAATATGTCACCTTTGGTGACTTACTTCTTCCACTTGGCATAATGTTGAGGTTCATCTACGTTGTAGCATATATCAGCACTTCATTTCTTTTTATTGCAGAATAATATTCCATTGTATGGATATACCATATTTTATTGATCCATTCATCAGATGATAGACATTTGGATTATTTTCACTTTTTAGCTACTATGAATACTGCTGCTGTTACCAAACCCAGCCCGTTTTGCCCACCTTGAAGTATGGCTAACACTGAGATAATGAGTTTTGTAGCAAAGAAAGGGTTTATTCATGTGGCAGTCAAGCAAGGAGATGGGAGAACAGGTCTTAAATCTCTCTCCCTGAAAATGGAGTTTAGGGATATTCATAGGATAAAAGAGAAAAGTGGTCTGAGATGTGGGGGAAGGTGATTGGGGTTAAGGAAAAGTAAGGTAATTAGCGTTCTGCACAAGTTCAGTCAACTTCATGGCTCTTCATAGGACTCATGTTAAAAAAAAAAAATCCATGGCATTAGCATGATCTGAGAGTGACGCTCTCAGCCCTCTGCCATCAAATGGTCACCCATTGGACATTCATTCAGAGCCAGTTGAAGGGTCGGTGGTCTCACCCAGTTTGAACTGGACAAGAGCTGACTCTAAGTTCCTGAAAAAACAACTTTGGCACCCATTACCATTGTGACCTACACATCAGATATGTTAACTATAAATAAACTGAAGGGTGTATTGTAATACATTGCTTAGCTATGTGACATTTAGAGTTAGTAATTAAAAATAAAAAGCTAAAAGCAAACAAAGCAGGTTAAAGTTTGACAAGCTTAGTCAGGTTTACCCTCAGCATCACTGCTATGACCATTCATGTACAAGATTTTGTGTGGACACATGTTTTCATATCTTTTGAATTTATGACCAGGAGTATAATTGCTGTATCATATGGTAACTTATGTTAAACTTTTTGAGAAACTGCCAAACTTTTTTCCAAAGTGGCCGCATCATTTTACATTCCCACCAACAATGTATTAGGGCCAATTTCTCCACATCCTCACTTACACTTGTTTTTGTCTACTTTTTAAAAATTATAGCCATTCTAGTGGGAGTATAGTGGTATTTCATCATAGCTTTATGTTTTGTTTTTGTTTGTTTTGTAGAGATAGGGTCTCCTTATTTTGCCCAGGCTGGTTTCGAACTCCTGGGCTCAAGTGATCCTCCTACCTCACCCACGCAAAGTGCTGGGATTACAGGTGTGAGCCACTGTGCCCAGCCTCATTATGGTTTTGATTTGTACTTCCCTAATGACTAATGATGTTGAGCATCTTTTATTGGCTTATTTGCCATTTGTATATCTTCTTTGAAGAAACATTAATTTCTTTGCCCATATTTTAATTGAGCTGTCTTTTTATTATTTAGTTGTAAGACTTCTTTACATTAATATATTTGGGATACAAGTTTCTTATCAGATAAATTATTTGCAAATATTTTTTATTATTCTGTGGGTTGTCTTTTCAGTTTCTTGATGGTATTGCTTAATGTTCTATTTCTTGACCTGGGTGTGGTTACATGAATATATTCACTTTGTGACAATCTATAAAACTGTGCATATTTTTGTATTGGTCATAATTGAATAATAATTCCATTTTTATTAATAAGGGAATTTATAAGGTGAAAGGGAAATTTTTATTCCCTTACTATCAATATAAGATTATAATTAATTTCTACTCCAGTTCCTTTAACTCATGTCAAAAAGATCAGTCAAAGATCATGGAAGACTCTTGTAGATCAGCTAATTCATATCCTTCATTTTAGAGACAATAATTGTTAGAGTAATTAACTTGTGGCTATATTACCCTCACTATATACATTTCAACTTTGCTTGATTTATCCCAAGTTACCCCAATATATTACTAAAACCCATTCCAATTCATTGTCAACATACTCGGATGACCAAATCCCATAAATCAGATGATTTGCAGCTTTATTTTTGCAGGTCAGAAAGCAACTTCCTCAAAGACCTTATAATCCAGTCTTTTCTCTTTCTCTGATTCATTTGTTGAAAGGCTACTTACTTAGTATCTGTATGTGCTGAGCACTATACAAGGGACAAGATATTCAGTGGTAAGCAAAACAGACAGAGCCCCTGTCATTATGGAGCTTCCACTGTGATAATATTAAATGACCAATTGTACATTGAAAGCATTATGTCCAACTGTGGTAAGGGTTAGAAAGAAAATGTATAAGATCTTCTGAGAAAGTAGAACAGGATTCCCAAGTTAGATTTGGGAATCAGGGAAAGCCTCTCTAAGAAAATCCCATTTAAGCTGTGTCCAGGGAGAGTTAAGAGTTAACCTAGGAGAGAAATGGAGAAATAATTTTCCAGAAGAAGAAACAAAAAACAAAAAACAAAAAAAAAAACTGTGTGAGAAGGACCTGAGGCAAGAAAAGCCTGGACCCTCAGATGAACTGAAAGATTAGTTCTAGAACCGCATTGTTCAATATGGCCACTAGTCACACGTGGCTAATCGACACTCCAAATGTGGATACAGGAAAAAATTGAAAGAATACTTTATTCATATTGATAAATTTTGAATTGTTTTTTGCTTTACACAATACTCCTTTAAATTAAAGGCTAATATACTGAATTGATACCAGAGTTAGCAAATTTACTTAACTGGGACAGACATACTTTTGCTTCTCATGGGGTTCAGGACACACTACTCTAAAAAATGGCATCTTGGCATATTGAATATTTTAAGTTAAAAAAATTTGAGAAAATGACAGAAGAAGAAAGGTCACTCTAACATTCCCTCACCCTTCTCCCCTGATGTAGGTCATAAAACCTAGAAAGGATTTTCTGACTGTCCTCTGAAGCCAGTTATAAGACCCTCAGTGAGAGGTGCTCTCTCTATACTCGGAGGAAAGGAACATTTTTATCTCTGAAACACCAGGACATAGAGAAGAATCTGAACAAATAGGCCTTACTAGATTCTCCACCCCCACCCCAGTTTATTACCATTAGATCATACCCTTTGTGAAAGCTGTCAGCCTCAAAAGGGAATCACTCATGTCAAGCCCAAACGAAATGGAACAGGTAGGCCAAGAAGGAAGGGACCACATGGACATATGCCTATGATAAAAACTGTTACAGAGACTCTCTGAAAACCACAAAAATTTGGGATGTTTCTATGAAGCCATCTCCCCAGCAACAGCCAGTATCACCAATGAGTATTTGCCAATTCCTGCAATAAACTTCTGTGGCCAATGAGGTTTATTTCAAAACAACTAACAGGGACTCCCCCTTTTACTCTTAAAGGAACTTTGCCTCTCTCCATTTCTTTGAATGTCCACCATAGCATGCATATCCCAAATTACAATTCCTTGCTATTTCTGAATAGACTCTTTGTCTTGGAGAGTTGTTCTCTCTGCTGTTTATTTTAGGTTGACACCTTTGTCATATCATATTTCTCCATGACTGTCCACTCTTCATTAAACCTGGCATAAAAATACACAAATTTAACTATTTCTTTGGGTCTTTATTCCCTTAAGAAGACTCCTGTGTCATTTAAAGCTTATATTAAATACATTTGTAGGCTTTTCTCTTGCTAAGAATCTATCTTTTGTTATAGGGGCCTCAGCCATGAACCTAGGATGGGTTCTATGAACCTAGAACCTTACAATCTAAAGTCAAATCAAAATCAAATCTAAAACAGATGAACCAGTTTTGTCAAAGTGGATGTCAATATTAAAGGAAAATTATTTTTGCTACTTGATTCAGTTACTGGAAAACTTTCACGTGTTCTTGGAATAACTTGGGTGTATGAATCTCCTTTTTCAACTGTAATTTTTATGAACACTAAATACTGAAGGAATTAATAGCCCACCAGAGTGGTATGAAAATTACTTTAAACTAAAAACATCTGAGCAATCAGCAGCCATGGGACGCAACATTATCTAAACTTAAGCAAAGCCTCCTGAAGATATAGCTGCCATTGAACTCTTCTCCAAGGGAGTTTCCTGATTGGGAAGAGACTAACTCCTAGCCAGGAAATGTGAATTCAGCCATGCATTAGCATCAAAAAGCCCAATAGAACCTTCCATACTTTTCCGCTTAAGTCCTAAATCACCACTACTACCCTTTTTATTAAGTTGATGTATAAACCATGATCTCTGACTATTCAGAAAATTACTCATTACTGAGCATGAGCATGTTTAAATAAATTTTGTCTTCTGTTAATCTATTTATTGTCAGTTAATGTGCAGACACTCAAGTACAGGACCTAAGTTTGAAGAGGAAAAAGTATTTCCTCCCAACAATATAAATAAAATACAATAGGTGAAAAATTAGCATCTGAATTAAGATGAGCTTGCTACAAATTTAAAATACCCCCTGGATTTTCAAGCCTTAGTATGAAAAAAGAATGTAAAACATCTCTTTAATAGTTTTGTATATTGATTACATATTGCAATAAAAATATTTTGGATATATTGGGTTAAATAAAATATATTACTAAAATTAATTCCACTTGTTTCTTTTTATTTTTTTCAATGTGGCTCCTGGAAAAGATAAAATGACATATACGGCTCATATTCTGTTTCCACTGGACAGCACTTGGGCTAGAATGTAGTAAAGTTGAGTACAAGTGAGTTGAAATGAAGATAGGGAGGAAAACAAGAACCAGATTCTCCTGGGCAGTGCAGAGCTTATTAAGAAGCTTGATTTGAGCAGGGAAGTTACCTGATTGGCTTTGCCTTTAAAAACCTTCAGTAAGATCTGTCTGGCTACACTTTGAATAATGGCCTGTAGGAAAGCAAAAATGAGACACCAGAGAGCAGGCTGTCTCTTCAATTCAGGACATGTCTCATATCTCTGAGACATAAACTATGCCCAGGGCCTTGAGTCTTCAAGAAGGACCACACTCTAGACGGCTATCCAAGTTTGACTCGGTGAAAAATACCCCATTTCACCATGAGGTCTTTGAACCCTCAAATACTTCAGTGACACCCACTTGTGTACACTTGTCACCACATTGAACCTTGTTGATCTAAACCAGTTGTATTCAAATTTTGTTTAACACTAGGCCCCAATAAAACAGAACGGCTCCAGTCGGAGCTGAGGTAGGGATTCAGAGCCCCAACCACTCACTCCACCCCTTCTAGTGGAAGCCTTTTTAAGGGTCTTCAGAGACCAGTTTGAAAACCACTATGATGTAATGAACATTTTAGTTACCTTGGCCATGATCTATTGCAGGGGACTATACAAAATTACTGTAGATAGTCACAAATATTATAGATAGAAGACATTGTCTAAAATATTTAGAGGCGAGACGCAGGTAAGGAGTAGGGTTAGTTCTGTAGGACTATCAAGGATGCTAGATGCCAACTTCCCCTCCAGTTGGTCTGGCTCCAGATTTTTAAGAGTTCCTACTAAACATTAGAACAGCAAAATATACAGACATCCAAAATGTCTAACAATAGGAATTTTAAAATATTGATTATAGATCTTGATATCATCTATGTATTATTTAAAATTTATAATAAAAGGTTAAGTGAAAAGGGCAGATATGCAAATGTCATGTGCTTTCTAAAGCATTGTATAAAATGTGTGTGTATGAATATGAACAAAGACAGAAACAAAACTCACAAAATGTGAACCAAATTGTTTTGTTAATATAGTAATTTATGGAGAGTTATGTTTTATTTTTAATAATATTTCCCTTATATTATTTTTCAATCAAAAAAGCTTTGAAAATTCTGGAAGATAAATTATAAAAAGAAAATGTAAGAAATAATGTGTTACAAGAGCAAAAATGTTTTCTGAAGTGTCAAGGAGAGAAGAAAGTTCTTTCTTTTATTGTACCATCAGCATCATTAAGATGGAAAATCAAAAGCTGTTCCCAGAAACAACGACTGGAGCCATGGGGATCCCAAGTGGAAATTTCATAACTGCTTTCTCAAGCCATTGTACAGAGGAATTATGAGTATAAAAGACAAGCTATGTGTTCTGCATGTTTCAGAATACCCATAAAGTCAGTTCCTTAAATTACTACAATTTCTATAGAATTCGCCAAATATTCGTGTTATTTTCTAACAGATTTACTTTAAACTTCATTTTGAAATATCTTTACTTGACTTAGTGATTCTCCTGAGTATCTCTTTTTAGATTTCTGTATATTACTTTATTACTTGCTGAGAATCTAGCCAACATTCAAGAAATTTTTATATTATTTTATTTTTTCTTAATGAGCAATATCCTTAAACTTCAGAGGAAGCTGGAAAGTGGGTGGCCGGGCAGGTTTCCAAAGATCTAATATTCACAGCTGCCAGGTGAACATGGTTCTGGTTAACTTAGGAAGAGGTAGGAGAGAGCCTTGGGGGGATTTGAAAAGATCAAAAGAACTAAAATGACAATCTCAAATTACTATACCCTCCTTTTTGAAAGTGCAAAGGCTATTTTTTTCATCAATGGATTAATCTGAACTAATGTGGAGAACAAAGGAACCTCTGTACCTTTCTCTCCCACATGGTTCTGTAGCTAGTTTTATTTCGTTTTGTTCACCTCAGAGAAAACTGAAAGACCAATGTATGATCTTTCAACTCTGTTGAATGTGTGTGAGATTTTTTTCTTTTTTCTTTTTCTTTCTTTTTTTTTTTTAAAGACAGAGTCTTGCTCTTGTTGCCTAGCCTGGAGTGCAGTGGCATGATCTCGACTCACTGCAACTTCCACCTCCCCGGTTCAAGCGATTCTCCTGCTCCAGCCTCCCAAGCAGCTGGGATTACAGGCGCCCACCACCACACCAGGCTAATTTTTTGTATTTTTAGTAGAGACAGGGTTTCACCATGTTGGCCAGGCTGGTCTCGAACTCCTGACCTCATGATCTACCCACCTCAGCCTCCCAAAGTGCTGGGATTACAGGCGTGAGCCACCGCACCTGGCCAAGTGTGTGTGAGATCTTTTATTAAGTTTTTACAACTCCCTTAAATAATCCTCCTCATTGGGGAAAAATAAAAAATAAAAAATAAATAAAACCTCACTAATTTGGTATTTTGAGGTAATCAAGAGCCTCCCCTCTCTCCCTGAGTAAAGGGTACCATGTTTTGCATAAGAGCATTTTACAGACAGGCTGATATTCCCGTAATATTTTCCTCGCTGTTTATCTCCCCACTTACTTGTCCATTTTTACTCTGTCCCTGAGTCAGGGCATTTATGGTCCAGAAATAAGGTCGCTCTCAGCATGGGGAAGGAGAAGAGGGAGGAGAGGGAATAGAAGCCAAGCTAAGCTCTTGGGCAAAGAGAAAACAGAAGAGGTAGGTAAATGATCTCATCATGCAATCTTAAGGATAACTTACTGTTTTCCAGAAGGTCAGAAAGAGCGCCTGGATGTGATAAGCAGTTTTGATTTAGGCCAATAAAATCCTGCCCAATAAGATACCATCTTTTTGAAACCACCTTTGCAAAATTATGACAATAAAAGATGTCTGATATGGCTCCCTCCATCTTGCTTCTAACCTGTAAGCTGTCTTCACTCATTCTTGGGCATAGGCCAAGCTAATCATGGGAGAAATTTATAGTTTAACTTGAAAGTAAGGATGATAATAGGTGCTCCCTAAAACTAACCCCCTCCTTGCTCAGGGACTGAGAACTGCCTTTGTAAGACTAATGAAAAGCCACAAGATTAGGATTATGGGAGGGGCCTGAATTCTTCTAAAATATAGGCATCGTTTCTATAATCCCTTACTGCTCAGGAGTCACATGGCCAGAGGTCACAAGATTTGTGACTTCCCCAGTTGCTCCTGCAGATAACATCACTATTACAGAACCTAACATTGGTCTTTAGAGATTTTTTTCAGACTTTCTGGCAACCGACTGACCCCATCTGGACCAGTGACTCATGACTCAACCAGTCCTGTGGCCCTGCCCAGGTGTTTTCCACACCTCTATGATTTCATCCTCAACCAATTAGCAGCACTCATTCCTTAGGCCCCTGCTCACCAAATTGTCCATAAAAACCCTAACCTCTGAGCCTTCAGGGAGACTGATTTGAGTGATAACTCCATCTCCAACATGGCCAGCCTCATGTCAGTTAAAATCTTTCTTTTTTTTTTTGAGACAGAGTCTTACTCTGTCACCCAGGCTGGAGTGCAGTGGCACCATTTCGGCTCACTGCAAGCTCCACCTCCTGGGTTCACGTCATTCTCCTGCCTCAGCCTCCTGAGTAACTGGGATGACGGGTGCCTGCCACCACGCCTGGCTAATTTTTTGTGTACTTTTAGTAGAGATGGGGTTTCACCATGTTAGCCAGGATGATCTCGATCGCCTGACCTCGTGATCCACCCACCTTGACCTCCCAAAGTGCTAGGATTACAGCCGTGAGCCACCGCACCTGGCCTAAAATCTTTCTTTACTGCAATGCCACAGTCTCAGTGAATTGATTTTGTCCATGCAAAGTGCAGGACAAACCTGTTGGGCAATTACATTTTACACTGCCAGATGTCATTCTCCTGGTGTGTTGGTTAATGGAAAGGTGGATTCTCCTTATGGGCTAGGAGGTGAGGAAAGTGGCAGCATCAGGATAGAGAAACATGTCCAAAACAGGTTATCAAAGCCAAGGAACCCAAAGCAAGAACTAAGGAACCAGGGATGATGAAGATATGAGGAACAGGTCCTAACAGGCAAATAATAAGAGTCAAAAAGTCTAGAAAGAGGAGTATAGAGTTAAATCCTTCTGTTTGAATAGGTTATAGGGCTCCATTTGATAGAGTAATAGAAAACCATATGAGGACTCTGGAAATCTAGGTAGATATTTGCTCATTATTGTTGTGTTGGCAAGATGACATGAAAAGATCATGAAACTGTCAGGCCTCTGAGCCCAAGCTAAGCCATCATATCCCCTGTGATTTGCACGTACACATCCAGATCGCCGGTTCCTGCCTTAACTGATGACATTCCACCACAAAAGAAGTGAAAATAGCCTGTTCCTGCCTTAACTGATGACATTGTCTTGTGAAATTCCTTCTCCTGGCTCATCCTGGCTCAAAAGCTCCCCCACTGAGTACCTTGTGACCCCCACTCCTGCCCGCCAGAGAACAACCCCCCTTTTTCCTTTACCTACCCAAATCCTATAAAATGGCCCCAACCCATCTCCCTTTGCTGACTCTCTTTTCAGACTCAGCCCGCCTGCACCCAGGTGATTAAAAGCTTTATTATTCACACAAAGCCTGTTTGGTGGTCTCTTCACATGGACGCACATGAAATTTGGTGCTGTGACTCAGATCGGGGGACCTCCCTTGGGAGATCAATCCCCTGTCCTCCTGTTCTTTGCTCCATGAGAAAGATCCACCTACGGCCTCAGGTCCTCAGACCGACCAGCCCAAGGAACATCTCACCAATTTTAAATCGGGTAAGCGGACTCTTCTTACTCTGTTCTCCAACCTCTCTCACTGTCCCTCAACCACTTTCTCCTTTCCACTCTTCAATCTCTCCCTTCTCTTAATTTCAATTCCTTTCATTTTCTGGTAGAGACAAAGGAGACACGTTTTATCCGTGGACCCAAAACTCCGGCACCAGTCACGGACTAGGGAAGGCAGCCTTCCCTTAGTGTTTAATCATTGCAGGGACACCTCTCTGATTATTCACCCAGGTTTCAGAGGTGTCAGACCACGCAGGGACGCCTGCCTTGGTCCTTCACCCTTAGCGGCAAGTCCCGCTTTTCTGGGGAAGGGGCAAGTACCCCAACCCCTTCTCTCTGTGTCTCTACCCCTTCTCCGCCTTTCTGGGGGGCAAGAAACACCCAACCCCTTCTCCTTCACCCTGAGTGGCAAGTCCGCTTTTCTAGAGGAGCAAGTACCCCAACCTCGTATCTCTGTGCCCCAGTCCCTTATTTCCACGCCCCGACCTCTTATCTCTGTGGCCCAATCCCTTATTTCTGCACCCCAACCTCTTATATCTCTGTGCCCCAATCCCTTATTTCCATGCCCCGACCTCTTATCTCTGCACCCCAACCCCTTATTTCCACGACCCAACCCCTTTCCCGCTTTTCTGGAAGGTAAGAACCCCCGAACCCCTTCCCTCTGTGTCTCTACTCTTTCTTTTCTCTAGGCTTGCTTCCTTCACTATGGGCAACCTTCCACCCTCCATTCCTCCTTCTTCTCCCTTAGCCTGTGTCCTCAAAAACTTAAAACCTCTTCAACTCTCACCTGACCTAAAATCTAAGCGTCTTATTTTCTTCTGCAATGCCACTTGACCCCAATACAAACTCGACAGTAGTTCCAAATAGCCGGAAAACAGCACTTTCAATTTTTCCATCCTACAAGATCTAAATAATTCTTGTCGTAAAATGGGCAAATGGTCTGAGGTGCCTGACGTCCAGGCATTCTTTTACACATCGGTCCCTCTCTAGTCTCTGTTCCCAATGCAACTCATCCCAAATCTTCCTTCTTTCCCTCCCACCTGTCCCCTCAGTCCCAACCCCAAGTGTTGCTGAGTCTTTCTAATCTTCCTTTTCTACAGACCTATCTGACCTCTCCCCTCCTCTCCAGGCCTAGCTAGGTCCCAATTCTTCCTCAGCCTCCGCTCCTCCACCCTAAAATCCTTTCATCACCTCCCCTCCTCACACCCAGTCCGGCTTACAGTTTCATTCCGTGACTAGTCCTCCCCAACCTGCCTGGTACTTTACTCTTAAAAAGGTGGCTGGAGCTAAAGGCATAGTCAAGGTTAATGCTCCTTTTTCTTTATCCCAAATCAGATAGCGTTTAGGCTCTTTTTCATCAAATATAAAAACCCAGCCCAGTTCATGGCTCCTTTGGCAGCAACCCTGAGACACTTTACAGCCCTAGACCCTAAAAGGTCAAAAGGCCATCTTATTCTCAAAATACATTTTATTACCCAATCTGCTCCCGACATTAAATAAAACTCCAAAAATTAAATTCCGGCCCTCAAACCCCACAACAGGATTTAATTAACCTCGCCTTCAAGGTGTACAACAATAGAAAAAAGTTGCAATTCCTTGCCTCCACGGTGAGACAAACCCCAGCCACATCTCCAGCACACAAGAACTTCCAAATGTCTGAACCGCAGTGGCCAGGCGTTCCTCCAGAACCTCCTCCCCCAGGAGCTTGCTACAAGTGCCAGAAATCTGGCCACCAGGCCAAGGAATGCCTGCAGCCCGGGATTCCTCCTAAGCTGCGTCCCATCTGTGCGGGACCCCACTGGAAATCGGACTGTCCAACTCACCTGGCAGCCACTCCCAGAGCCCCTGGAACTCTGGCCCAAGGCTCTCTGACTGCTTCCCAGATCTTCTTGGCTTAGCGGCTGAAGACTGACGCTGCCCGATTGCCTCAGAAGCCCCCTAGAGCATAATGGACGCTGAGCTTCACGTAACTCTCACAGTGGAAAGTAAGTCCGTCCCCTTCTTAATCAATACGGAGGCTACCCACTCCACATTACCTTATTTTCAAGGGCCTGTTTCCCTTGCCTCCATAACTGTTGTGGGTATTGACAGCCAGGCTTCTAAACCTCTTAAAACTCCCCAACTCTGGTGCCAACTTAGACAATACTCTTTTAAGCACTCCTTTTAGTTATCCCCACCTGCGCAGTTCCCTTATTAGGCCGAGACACTTTAACTAAATTATCTGCTTCCCTGACTATTCCTGGACTACAGCTACATCTCATTGCTGCCCTTCTTCCCAATCCAAAGCCTCCTTTGTGTCCTCCTCTTGTATCTCCCCACCTTAACCCACAAGTATAAGATACCTCTACTCCCTCCTTGGTGACCGATCATGCACCCCTTACCATCTCATTAAAACCTAATCACCCTTACCCCGATCAATGCCAATATCCCATCCCACAGCATGCTTTGAAAGGATTAAAGCCTGTTATCACTCGCCTGCTACAGCATGGCCTTTTAAGGCCCATAAACTCTCCTTACCATTCCCCCATTTTACCTGTCCTAAAACCAGACAAGGCTTACAGGTTAGTTCAGAATCTGCGCCTTATCAGCCAAATTGTTTTGCCTATCCACCCCATGGTGCCAAACCCATGTACTCTCCTATCCTCAATGCCTCCCTCCACAATCCATTATTCTGTTCTGGATCTCAAATATGCTTTCTTTACTATTCCTTTGCACCCGTCATCCCAGCCTCTCTTCGCTTTCACTTGGACTGACCGTGACACCCATCAGGCTCAGCAAATTACCTGGGCTGTACTGCCGCAAAGCTTCACAGACAGCCCCCATTGCTTCAGTCAAGCCCAAATTTCTTCCTCATCTGTTGCCTATCTCAGCATAATTCTCATAAAAACTCACGTGCTCTCCCTGCCGATCATCTCCATTAATCTCCCAAACCTCAATCCCTTACAAAACAACAACTCCTTTCCTTCCTAGGCATGGTTAGTGCGGTCAGAATTCTTACACAAGAGCCAGGACCACTCCCTGTAGCCTTTCTGTCCAAACAACTTGACCTTACTGTTTTAGCCTAGCCCTCATGTCTGCGTGCAGTGGCTGCCGCTGCTTTAATACTTTTAGAGGCCCTCAAAATCATAAACTATGTTCAACTCACTCTCTACATTTCTCATAACTTCCAAAATCTATTTTCTTCCTCACACCTGACGCATATACTTACTGCTCCCCGGCTCCTTCAGCTGTACTCACTCTTTGTTAAGTCCCACAATTACCATTGTTCCTGGCCCGGACTTCAATCTGGCCTCCCACATTATTCCTGATACCACACCTGACCCCCATGACTGTATCTCTTTGAACCACCTGACATTCACCCCATTTCCCCATATTTCCTACTTTCCTGTTCCTCACCCTGATCACGCTTGATTTATTGATGGCAGTTCCACCAGGCCTAATCGCCACACACCAGCAAAGGCAGGCTATGCTATAGTACAAGCCACTAGCCCGCCTCTTAGAACCTCTCATTTTCTTTCCATCATGGAAATCTATCCTCAAGGAAATAACTTCTCAGTGTTCCATCTGCTATTCTACTACTCCTCAGGGATTATTCAGGCCCCCTCCCTTCCCTACACATCAAGCTCCAGGATTTGCCCCCACCCAGGACTGGCAAATTAGCTTTACTCAACATGCCCCGAGTCAGATAACTAAAATACCTCTTAGTCTAAGTAGACACTTTCACTAGATAAGTACAGGCCTTTCCTACAAGGTCTGAGAAGGCCACCGCAGTCATTTCTTCCCTTCTGTCAGACATAATTCCTCAGTTTAGCCTTCCCACCTCTATACAGTCTGATAACAGACCAGCCTTTATTAGTCAAATCAGCCAAGCAATTTTTCAGGCTATTAGTATTCAGTGAAACCTTTATATCCCTTACGGTCCTCCGTCTTCAGGAAAAGTAGAACGGACTAAAGGTCTTTTAAAAACACACCTCACCAAGCTCAGCCACCAACTTAAAAAGGACTGGACAATACTTTTACCACTTTCCCTTCTCAGAAGTCAGACCTGTCCTCAGAATGCTACAGGGTACAGCCCATTTGAGCTCCTGTATAGATGCTCCTTTTTATTAGGCCCCAGTCTCATTCCAGACACCAGACCAACTTGGACTGTGCCCCAAAAAACTTGTCATCCCTACTATCTTCTGTCTAGTCATACTCCTATTCACCGTTCTCAACTACTCATACGTGCCCTGCTCTTGTTTACACTGCCGGTTTACACTGTTTCTCCAAGCCATCACAGCTGATATCTCCTGGTGCTATCCTCAAACTACCACTCTTAACTCTTGAAGTAAATAAATAATCTTTGCTGACAGGACTATGCTGAGCCTCCTTAGGCACTCTCTAATTAGATGTCCTAGGTCCTCCCAATTCTTAGACCTTTAATACCTGTTTTTCTCCTTCTCTTATTCTGTTTAGTTTTTCAATTCATACAAAACTATCCAGGCCATCACCAATAATTCTAAATGACAAATGTTTCTTCTAACAGTCCCACAATATCACCCCTTACCACAAAATCTTCCTTCAGCTTAATCTCTCCCACTCCCACTCTAAGTTCCCATGCCGCCCCTAATCCTGTTCAAAGCAGCCCTGAAAAACATCGCCCATTATCTCTCCATACCACCCCCCAAAATTTTCACCGTCCCAACACTTTACCACTATTTTGTTTTATTTTTCTTATTAATATAAGAAGACAGGAATGTCAGGCCTCTGAGCCCAAGCTAAGCCATCATATCCCCTGTGACCTGCACGTACACATCCAGATGGCTGGTTCCTGCCTTAACTGATGACATTCCACCACAAAAGAAGTGAAAATGGCCTGTTCCTCCTTAACTGATGACATTGTCTTGTGAAATTCCTTCTCCTGGCTCATCCTGGCTCAAAAAGCTCCCCAACTGAGCACCCTGTGACCCCTACTCTGCCTGCCAGAGAACAACCCCCCTTTGACTGTAATTTTCCTTTATCTACCCAAATCCTATGAAACGGCCCCACCCCCATCTCCCTTCGCTGACTCTTTTCGGACTCAGCCCACCTGCACCCAGGTGAAATAAACAGCTTTATTGCTCACACAAAGCCTGTTTGGTGGTCTCTTCACACGGACGCAAGTGAAAAAAAACCCTAACCTCTGAGCCTTCAGGGAGACTGATTTGAGTGATAACTCCATCTCTATCATGGCCAGCCTCATGTCAGTTAAAATCTTTCTTTTTTTTTTTTTTTTTTTTTTTGAGACGGAGTCTCGCTCTGTCACCCAGGCTGGAGCGCAGTGGCGCGATCTTGGTTCACTGCAAGCTCCACCTCCCGGGTTCACGTCATTCTCCTGCCTCAGCCTCCTGAGTAACTGGGATGACGGGTGCCCGCCACCACGCCAGGCTAATTTTTTGTGTATTTTTAGTAGAGGCAGGGTTTCACCATGTTAGCCAGGATGGTCTCGATTGCCTGACCTCGTGATCCACCCAGCTCGGCCTCCCAAAATGCTGGGATTACAGCCATGAGCCACCGCACCTGGCCTAAAATCTTTCTTTACTGCAATGCCACAGTCTCAGTGAATTGATTTTGTCCATGCAAAGTGCAGGACAAACCTGTTGGGCAATTACATTTTACACTGCCAGATGTCATTCTCCTGGTGTGTTGGTTAATGGAAAGGTGGATTCCCCTTATGGGCTAGGAGGTGAGGAAAGCGTCAGCATCAGGATAGAGAAACATGTCCAAAACAGGTTATCAAAGCCAAGGAACCCAAAGCAAGAACTAAGGAACCAGGGATGATGAAGATATGAGGAACAGGTCCTAACAGGCAAATAATAAGAGTCAAAAAGTCTAGAAAGAGGAGTATAGAGTTAAATCCTTCTGTTTGAATAGGTTATAGGGCTCCATTTGATAGAGTAATAGAAAACCATATGAGGACTTTGGAAATCTAGGTAGATATTTGCTCATTATTGTTGTGTTGGCAAGATGACATGAAAAGATCATGAAACTGAAGCCATTAATGGTATCAACAACATCAATAGACACTTATCCATGAATCATTCCAAGAACAAGTTCCCCACCCCTCAACACACATACCCTTTATTTCCTAGACACAATGATGAGGTAATTTCAGAACACATGAGTAGCTACGTAGTGGTGGCTTTAAAGACTAGGCTTCTAATTAGTGGCCTATAAAAATGTTTTTGTTTCACTCTCAGTTGTCTCAAGACCACTTACTCATTCATATTGAGTATCAGCCAAGACTCTTTTCACTGCAAAAAAAACTAAAATCCAAATCAAACTATCATAAACAAGAAAAGGGATTTATTAGTTCACCTAGCTAAGAAGATTCTGGGATAGCTCACAGAACTTAATGAGTAGATATAAAAGTCAACACCAAGGAGTTGTCAGAGCTAGGGCATATGAACTGTGGAAGATAAAAAATAATTTTCTTTCTACTACTCATAGTGCTTAGTTGGGGTAGACCCCTGTAACAAAAGACAGATTAAGAAGAGAAAAACAAACAGAAGTTTTTTTGTTTTTTTTTTAAACATGTGGACCTCATGTATACACAGGAGACACTCAGAAAAAATGGGTAAATTTCTAAGAGGTAGCCTTGAATTCAGGCTTAAATACCAACCTCCACTGAAACAAAGAAGGGTATAGAAAAGGCCGGTTTTGAGGAAATAATCAGGAAAAGTCTGATAAACAAAAGCAAAGTTTGTTATGCAGATTTAAGTTAGTGCCTTCTCCATTGATAAGAGTATCTAGTGATTTAGTCATTCTTTTCTTTCTGGTAGAAAGAGGGAAACACCCTTACAAATGGATATTTCTTTTATAGATGTAAATTTCCCTTACAAATCTGTAACTTCTACTCTGTTTTCAGAGCTTCTCCTGTGTCTGCAGTTTCTCAAAATAATCAGCTCAAAATAATCCCTATGCCAAAGAGTCATATTTTGGGGTGGCATATTCTGGTTTCCTACAGTCATATTTTCGGGTGGCATATTTTTGGTATCCTACAAAAGTAAAGATTGGGAATTATGAAGTCAAAGAACCAGGGATGATGAAACAAAGAGGAACAAATCTCAACAGGCAAATGTAAGAGTCTAGAAGTTCAGAATCAGGGCCTGTAACCAAGAACTTGGTGCCCTCTGGCTTTCCGTCTATCCTTCATCTTTGCTATCTCTGCTTCTCCTTGTGTAATGGTCCCATTCTCTCCTACTAAAGGCAAGCTTCCTGTACATGGTACATTAAAGACCTTTCAACAATTTCTGGCATGCATCCTAATATAAAATTCAAGAAGAGTCATCCCCCCCACACACATACACTTTGAATCTAAAAAATTCTACAGAAAACTCTAATTGGCCTACCTTGGGTCACAGGCCTACTGCTTAGACCAATCTTTGTGGCCACTGTGTCAAATGCCCATTTCTGTGGCAGGGCAGGACAATCTACTGTGATAAAAAATTCTACTAGAATGCATGGAATGGGGGAGAAATTCCCCTGGAAGAAAGAGAATGCTAAACCAGAGGCGGGGATATGAAAGGATCATGGGCAAATGAGAATAATAGCTATCTGAGTCCTTATACACCTTCCATCCTCCATATTATTGAAGAATGCATTGTTCCTGAGGGCAAGCCACATTCAACTATTGACAACAATGGTATGAAACCATTTTTCCAGTGACATCATTTATTTACAAACACAGCTAGACTAATTTTTTAAAGAAGCTAAGGATAGTACTGAAAACATAATAGAGCTTAATATTTTCATGCAATTGTCAGTGCTACAGTGGTGGTGCAGAAGTATAGAACAGAAAATTCAAAGCCGATTGAGACCTCTCTTTCAACCCTTCATATTATAGGTGAGAAATCTGGGGATCTAGGGAATTCTGTGTCTGGACAATTCCTCAGGCTTGCAAAGAAAAAGGACAAGATCAGAATATAGATCTTCTGTAATCCAGCCTGGCACTCTTTGGTGAGAAATACATCTAAATACAAATAACAGGACTATGTTTTCCACTTTTAAAATAGAGGAATGCAGAATGTTAGCTTTCTCCGTGAAGAATATCTGCTTATCCACAGAAAATTTCATTTTCTCCCGAACAGATGACCACCAAAAAAATGTTGTTTTAAAAGAAGGAAGAAGATTACATGAAAGATAGAGGTTTACATAATTTTAAATTAGCTTGAATTATAAAATTTCCAAAAGAAATGTTTTATTTATATTTAAACTTTCTCATGACATTTTTTGCAAGAGAAATACATAAAAAATTTAAATCATATGATGTCATCTACACATTGAAAAAGGAAAGTCTAATATAATAATTGCTTCTCTGTGACAAGGAAGAATAGGTGAGAAAAGAGTATAGAAAACAATTTTTTTTTCCTGAAAACTTGAGTAAGATTTACCTTTGGTCTATTTTATTTAATGTAATTTTTTAGATAAGTTTTTTTTTTGTCTTTTGTTTTTTAACGTGATGTTTTAATACTTCAGGCATGGTTTCTGGCATAGTAGAATTAGTTTGAAGTTAATAATGGTCCAATTTATACTCATGTCAATCACAAGGCCTCTTCAATTGAATTAATGATTTTAAAATTTTCATCAATGTGTGAGGTCTTTTAAAGGATAAAAAGATGATTGAATTGAATTGATGATTGAATTAATGATTTTAAAATTTTCATCTACGTGTGAGGTCTTTTAAAGGATAAAAAGATAAGATACCCACACATGCATCCAACCAACATATATTAACTGTCAGCTCTGTGTTGGGCACTGAGATAGGAACAGGGGGTAAAAACAATGAGTAAGTGTAATAGACCTTCAAGAGCCTGATAGTCAAATATAAGGGGCAGACAAGGGATCAAAAACAGTGAAATACACTTAAAAGCACAGGAAGGCAGAGAAAAGAGATCCTAACACTGCCTCAGTGTATAAGCTTCCCAAGGTTTGAGACCAAAGCTGAGTCCTGAACAGAGATTCCTGAGGTAAATGTTGTGGTGCCCCACTCACATCTCTTGATCATCATTCTGTGCAGATGATCTTTTTGTGCAAGCACCTAGACTTTCTGCTTTAGGGCTTTCTCTATCCACAGACACAAGCTTGGTCCTCACACCAGATAGGTAGGGAATACAAGGGAGTTACAGCTGTGAGACGTGGACAAGTTACAGCCAGTGAAGAATGGGAGCTAGTCGATAAATATCCCAGCCTCTTTACCCTTTGGATGGGATAATGCCTTGGAAGCTCTCTGAGGGATCGAGCCCAGTTGTTCACAGGAATAATCTGCTCATTAATATACCTGATATTAGCTGCCTTTCTTTCCTATCTCACTTCCTTATGCTTTCCTTTCTGAAATCCTTGCCTCATAGCCTTCTTCTGGGGAGCCTAACCTAAGAAAATATACAAAGCAATGGGGAAACTTATTCATGAGATAAAGAAATGGTGGTGGTTGTAAGTCACTAGGTTTTGGGGTGAACTGTTATAAAGCAATAACTAACTGATACAAGCCAAAAATTAAAAGGAACTATAATTGAAGTAGGAGGAAAATTAGTAGAGCAGTGGTTCTCAAATTTTGTCTTGGATTAGAATAAGCTGGAGGACTTATGAAACACAGATTGCTGGGCCTTACCCATAGATTTTCTGATTCAGTTGACAGGGGTTAAGGTTCAATAACTTTCATTTCTACCAAGTTCCCAGGTGATGCTATTGCTGCTGGCCCAGGAACCACACTTTAAGAATCACTGCAGTTAAGTGTAAAGCCATAGAAGCCAAAAGAGAAAGTATTTTTTTTAATAGAGAAGTACTAAGCTCTTTATAATGCTGAGAGATTTAGAAAAATAAAGATCAAACAATGATGATTGGATTTCAAAAATTATGACCAATAATGACACTAACAACTACAGTTTCAGTGGGGTGGTGTGGTTTGAAGCCAGTTTGGCATAAGCTGAGGCCAGAATGGGAGGTGAGGAAGTAAAGACAGCACATAGATGCAGCTCTTACAACAAAATTGCCAGGAACGAGGAGTAAAGGGAGATATAGAGTTGAAAAGGTTTTAATTGGGGGTAGTAGGAATACTAAAGTGTATTTCTATGCTCATGACAGAAATCCAATGGAGAAGAAAAAAGTGATGTAGGAAAAAGAAAGGCTAATGGCAGAAGCAAAGTCCTTGGGGACAGAGCCAGAGCACCTTTGATAAAAGAAATCATACAACTTTCATTGTAGCAGGACAAAAGATGACAAATATAGAAAAGATAGTTTCCTGTCTAGTGACTTCAGCTTTCTCAACTAAGTATGAGATGTCATCAGCTGAGAGTGAGAGCAGGGAAAGGGGTACAGAGGTGCTAGAGGAAAAGATATGAGACTGCCATCTCTTAAATGAGAAACAAACCTACTTTCTTTTTGAGGTGAATGTGTCCATCAACACAAATTTCACTTAGAGATAAAGATATAAGACATTGACATGGGACATTTATTCAATGCATACAATTTGCACACCTTGTGTCCAGGTGAAAATGGAATTCAGTATATATGTTAATATATTGGCACTCAATAATTCTCCAGTTTTGCTTTGCTTTGAAAAAATTCTGGATGTTTGCTTTGAAAATATTCTGGCTAGAAATGCATAGGAATTATTTACAAACGAGGATGGCTGGGAATTGTTTGGGATGCCATAGGGGAGAAAAAGTAATATATTTTTCCTCAACCATAGCAAGGTTCATGGCTGAGATTCCTATAATAAAAGACAGATTAACAAGAGACCGGTATACAAATTTATTTAATATAAGCTTTATGTGACACAGGAGCCTTCAGAAATGAAGAGCAAGAAAAAAAAAAACAGAGAAACCTGTGTATTTCTATGAGCAGTCATGCAGAAGTATGAATGGAGGACAAAAGGATGTGGTCTAATAGTAAAAAAAAAAAAAAAAACAAAACTGTGGCGAACTTAGCAAGGCCTGTTTGTTCAGATTTTTCTTGGCATCTCTGTGTAGGGCAGGATACCTGTCACATAAGGGCCTTCAGAAAGAAGAGAGGGAGGTCAGAGAGTGGCCTTCCTAGGTTTTATGATCTATTTCAGGGAAGAAAGATGAGGGGAATGTAAGAGTGACCGTTCTGCTTCTCCTGTTTTCTCAAATGCCAAGATGCCATATTTTGGAGTGGCATGTCAAGAATCCCATCAATGGTATGGAATGATTCTGGAATATCATCTGAAAGCGGAATTGCAGTCTACTGTGTCTGGTGGACTATATTAGCACCCAGATTACAACCACGCCACAAATTTTCATTCTAGAGAGGAAGAGCTTTCAGTTTGGACTTGAAGAGAATTTTAAGATCTCTTAGTGATCCATGAAATATGACTATTATAAAGAACGTCTTATAAAAATTGTTCACCCAAAACAGTTTGTGTGAGAACTGCCTAAATGTAATGTCTGGTATGTTTTCACTGGTTGATTTTTTATAGTTGCCTTGGTTTTATTTTATTACTTGGAGAATAGTGTGTTTTCTGGTTATCTCTGATTTACTATTTTAGTTTGCTGGAGATTTTGAGAGTGCTAGGTGAAGTATTATTGTATATTTTTAAAGCCAGTGGTGAGATTAAAATTAAGCTAGAAGTTAATAAATGTATACTCAGAGCTATGAAAAAGTTTCTTTTGTCACTAGTCTGATCTAACAACGAGTTCGATAGAGGTCTGTCCTTTTGCACTGGAGAATTCTTATGAATTCTTTTTTATGCTTTTCTAATGCTCCACTCAATAATTTAGTGCCTTTACATCTTGCCTCCCAAAACCAATCCAGGGCTTCTTTGCAGTAAGGTGGTACCAAATCTTGTGTGGTGCAGTAGATGGGGAGTATAGATAGAGAGAAATCAGATGAGCCAGAAAGTTTCCCATTACAGAAGCCCAAGTTTCTAAATGAATTTTCTAAGGAGGTATAAGAGAAAGCTATAGAATCAATCATTTGAAAATGCAAAAATAAAAATAAGAGTTAGGTATGCTCTCACAACTTCTTCTTAGAAGCATTTACCACAATTGTAATCAATTAAGTGATTATCTAATCATTTGCTTAATGCCCATCATGTACCGTTAGACTGAAAGTTCTATGATGGCAGTATAATATCTATTTTGCCCACCACAATATCTTCAGACCTTAGGATGGTAGCTGGCATACAGACACACAATAAATATGATAAAAGAATAAGCAGTGAAGCTATTCTGGTATAAAGAAGGCTCTGATTCTGATATAAAGATATCTGATATCCTGATATAAAGATGGCTAAGCAGACCACTGAATGAAAGACAAACAGTTGTGCTTGGAAGGAGAAGGCTAGGAATTTACAAATTGTCTTATGCCATTTGTCTTACTCCATTTTATGCTATGAAAGCAGAATGCCACAGACTGTATAACTTATAAAGAACAGAATTTTATTTGGGTCACAATTCTGGAGGCTGGGAAGTCCAAAAGCATGGTGCTGGCATCTGGCAAGGGCCTTCATGCTGTACCATTCTATGGGGGAAAGCAGAAGAGCAAGAAAGGGCAAGAGCAAGAGAGAAAGAGAGAGCTGAACTAGCTTTTATAACAAATTCATTTTTTGCAATAACAAACCCACTCCTTCAATACTGGCATTAATCAATTCATGAGAGGAGAGCAGAGCCCTCATGTCCTAATCACTTTTTAAAGGTTTCACTCTCAATACTGTTGCACTGGGGATTAAGTTCCCAGCACATAAACTTTGGCAGACACATTTAAACCATGCATGACATCATTCAAAATTCAAATATCTAGAGCAGGATTTTTACAATTCCCAAAACTAGTATTTTCCCCAACTATCATTATTATCACCCTCTATTCATTTATGAGGATTTTGTTCTGTTTCCCAGAGTAATTTGGCCCAAGGTTTTAAATGAGAGAATGACCTGATCAGGTTTGGATTGTTAAAAACACACCTGGATAATACATGGAGTATGTGAGAGAAACTTGGAACCAAAATTCTTATTCTTTTTAAAATCTGGCCTCTATTTTTCCTATTTCTAAGCTTTTGCTCATATTATTTTTAACTAAAATGCCTGTATTAGTTTGTCAATAGGTTTGGCTACATGCAGTGACTTACACAATGAGAGTTTCTCTCTTTGTCATGAAATAGTCCAGTGGTAAAAGGTCCAAGGATGATGTAACAGATCTACTTCATGAAGCCACCCAACAGCCACGCCTCTTCCGATTACCTTCTGTGATACCTTATGCTGTCCTTATCTTCATGGTCTAAGATGGTTTGACACTACAATCACACTCTAATCGATAAGATGGAGGAAGATGAGGAAGGAGATGGATGAGAGTGCACCACCTTTCTTCTATGGATAGATTGCATAAGTTTCCATCTTTCTGGACAGAATATTGGCCAGAACTTAACCACATGACCGCATATAGCAGCAAGAGAGGCTGGGAGAAATATAGTCTTCATTCTGGGAGGACATAGGACTGGCTGAATAAGAGGGGCGGATTCTGTTCATTTGAAAGGGTAGACTGAATATTGAGTGACAAGTAGCCATCTCTGCTATGCTATGTTCTTTTCCTTCTCAAACTGTCGAAATCCCTTCTATCATTCAGAGTCTGATCTAGCTCAATTTTCATCCTCCATGAAGCAAATGAGGGGGTAAGAAGGCAACGAGTAGAGTGCCAGGGAATAATAAGCTTGTTTTCCCTGAAGTTGTGTTTAAGACACTGGCAAGCATGATTCAGAGATCTAAAATCAAGATTCTGGGGACAGTGAAATAAAAATAAAATGACAAATTTTGAACTCCTTTAAATATAATGTTGATCTTATGTTTTTCCAGATGCCTCTCCCCACTTCAAGTAATGGATGACAGCACATAGGTATGGCTTTGCCAAACACATACTCTCAAAATTCCTTTCAGCTCCAAAATTCCATGAGCCTTGGTGTATGAAATAGGAAAACCTCAAAAAACTCTTACCTAACACAGATCAAAGTGTGTCAGTCATGACAGAAAAACAAAAGCCCAGGTTTTAAGCAATAATGCATTTTAAACAAAGTGTTTTTATAGAGAATCTAACCCCACCATCCCTAGATGTCGCTTGTTCTGTCCTCTTGCCCAGGGTTGGGAAAAAGTCCTCCAACTTTCTCCCACTTGTGGGTTTGTTGTTGTTGTTGTTCCTAAGATTGGAAACCAGCTGTTATCTCCCCTCTGTCTTGGTTCCCATGTTTCCTTTGTCAGTCCTCTAGAAGTGCCTTGGGGAAGCCAAGCAACCTCCTGGGTATTTGTAAATTCTAGGTGGATACACAGACTAACCACATGGTAAACTTGACCAATTCCTGTAAGTATACTTATTTAGGGCTGATTTGAAATACTATTAAAATACCTTTATAGTTAATCAACACTATAAAAAATAGTGATCGTCAGGATCAAATAATATTTAGTGAATTTGTTATATAGGGTATTTTAAAAAAAACTAAAATACTCCCCATGTTTCTTCCAAATCAAATAGGAATTGATAATGGAGTATTCTCACAAAATTTATATTATTTTAAACATACACTCATTTTTAAAATGAATACTCGGGGGTTTTTTTTAAGCGAAGCCCAAGTGAAGGGAGACAGAGCATTGTGTGAACTGCAAAAATTCAGCCTATAAAGTGAAACTGCAGAGATAAAGGGATTGAGTCTTTTAAAAAAATCCCAGTTTGTGTATGAGCAATCAGAGGCTATGATAGCAGATTTTAATATAAAGATAGGACCATGGTAAAATGCCTCCTTAAGCCTATCCCCAAAACATATCAAATGCTGACCCTTTATTCCTATGTTGATAGTTCTTTCTCTAGAGTCTAGATAACAGCCTTGCTGGAATAAGGAAAAATGTTGACTGAAGCTTTGCAGGGTTATGTGTGTGGAAGGGGTGAAGGAGCTATTGTGGATGAAGTTGTAGGCCAAGGATTCCAAAACAAACAAACAAACAAAGAAGTACCAGACACAGTGGCTCATGCCTGTAATCCCAGCATTTTGAGAGGCCAAGGCAGAAGGATTACTTGAGCCCAGGAGTTTGAGACTAGCCTGGGAAACATAGTTAGATGAGACCCTGTCTATACAAAAAATTAAAAAATTAGCCAGGTATGGTGACACACACCTGGTCCCAGTTACTCAGGAGGCTGAGGCAGGAGGATTGCTTGAGCCCAGGAGGTTGAGGCTACAGGGAGCCATGATCACACCTCTGCACTCCACCCTGGGCAACAGAGAAAGACTCTGTCAAAAAAAAAAAAAATGCAAGAAGAATGAGATGATTAAAGTAGGGACAAGTGAAATATAAGTGGCTATCAGGGCTCATGAAATAAGCATTCTGAAAATTTTAAATAGTGAAAAACAGAGACTTCTTATTGATAAATAGATTTATCTAAGAAATATACTTGTTGCAGATTTGGGCAACAAGAGTCATCATCTTCATTTAAGAACAGTGGGCACTAATTTTTGAACAGTGACTTCAGGCTAATTTATTTAAAAAGATACCTCAGAAGAAAAGGTAGTTAACGTGGCACATTGATCTCCCTCTTTTAGATTTAAAGAGAACTTGCACAAATTTTTATATGTTGGTGGAGGTTCTTGAGATGATTGAGTTGTTTACTAGACTTGCCAGTTTGGGGTGTAGATGTGGGTAGCATACGTACAAGCAGAGTGAAGGACTGGATAATCAAAAGAGTAACTCTCACAGCTGCTTAACTTCTCAAGGTGTCTTATAAAGCAGACAAGTGACTAGACTCTTCTCTCAGCCACACTGCTCTAGAGAAATGTGTCCAAGTTCTACTTTTTTATCACAGTGGTTCTGGTCCTCTATGTTCATAGACTTCATCCACCTCTGTATGGGAATCTCCTGTGTCCTGATTTCTCCCAGTTCCCAGCTGATTTCTGATTTTTCCAGCTGATTTCTCCCCACTTAGGACTAGGATCCCATGTGTCCCATTAGCAAATTCTAAGTCCTGATCAATGTATTAAAACTATGAATAACTGTGTTTTTCATTTGCACTTTGTCAACTTTAAATAATTAGATTCAGAAAATATGATTAAGTATAGAGTTTATTCAAGTGCAAAGCTTAAGGATAGCCACCTGGGTAATACAGATTCTAAAGGAACGGGGTCAGTGCTCCAAAGTGAAAAAGTTAAGGTTTCACTTACATAGGCAATTAACAGGGTTACAACATTTTCTATACGAGGTTGGTATAAACATTATAACAATTTGATTGGTTACAGCTTGCTACATTCCCAGAAAGATTGCTTTAACATGCCATGAGGAGGGGTGATGATCTGAGGGGGTATTTATCTCTGATTCCACAAGGCCTTTCCTAATCACTTACAGGAAAAAGCAGATGTTGCAGCTGCATGCTGTGTGACTCAGGCCACACAGCCACATTATTCTCAACGCTCAAAATAAAGTCTCAACAGCTCTAAATTTGAATCATTTAATTTCACAGTTTTTATCAGCCCAATTCACCACAAACCATAATACTCATCGTTTTGGTGCTGAGTGAAAAGTAAGCATTAAGAGGTAGTTAACTTCAGCCGGGTGCAGTGGCTCACACCTGTAATTCCAACACTTTGGGATGCCAAGGCGGGAGGATCACTTGAGGTCAAGAGTTCGAGACCAGCCTGGCCAACATGGTGAAACTCTGTCTCTACTAAAAATACAAAAATTAGCCGGGCATGGTGGCACATGCTTGTAATCCCAGTTGCTCAGGAGGCTGAGGCATGAGAATAGCTTGAACCTGGGAGGTGGAGGCTACAGTGAGCTGAGATTGCACCACTGCACTCCAGCCTGGGTGACAGAGTAAGACGCCATCTCAAAAAAAAAAAAAAGAAAAGAAAAAGAAAAAAAGAGGTAGTTAACTTCTTTATACAGCTCTTTCTTTCCACCAAACTCCCACCATTAGCTCCTCTTAATCCTAGAGAAATGAGAGTTGCATACTATACTTTAATTCAATTCAGTATAAATTAATTTGGGTGGGGGAGGGCATCTCCATAAAGGACACAATTAAACAATTAAAGACATAGGGGCTTATGAAAGGGTATGACATTTAAATTTTAGTGCCGAGTAATACTCCATCTAGTCTAGAAGGTAACTCAAATGTCATAGAGATGAGATTCATAGTTCCTTCAAATGAGAAGGAATCTTGAAGATTTTTTATATAAACTTTACCACCAACACTGCCATTTTTCAACGTATTACTTATTTGAACCACTAAACGTTTTTTCATGATAGGAAACATTGTAAAGAGGTAGACTTTTCTAAGCGTTTACACAATTAATACACTTTACATTAAAGAACTTAGTAATATTAGAAATTCATGAGAAGAAAAACACCAGAAAAGACTGTTTAGTATTACAAGATGTGCTGAATGACAAGGAAGAGAATCGTTAATAAGATTGTACTATGCTCAGTTAAGAAAAAAATTCCTCATAGTTTAAACTTCCTTCCTCCTTTCATCTCTGAGGGAAGAAAATTTAATATATTCAGGTACATTCTGTTCCATCTGTGTGCCGTAGATTATAAACTTAAGGCTAAAGGTATTCTGTAGAGGAGAAGTTTATATATATACATATATATATACACACACACACACATATATACACATATTTATGCAATTTTAAAGCAATTCAGTACATTATTTCCATATAGAATAACTAAAAGTAGAAGGGGAAGTGGAATTTAAACAAAGTAGGACTGATTGGATTTTACGCTTTTTTTTTTTTTTGCAGGGGGGACAGGAAGTAAAATTGAATTACAGACATTTAAAAAAGTATGCATATATGTGATGGGGGAACTTTTCAAACTACTAAGTCACTACTTTATTTTTATTTATTTATTTATTTATTTATTTGAGATGGAGTCTTGCTCTTGTTGCCCAGGCTGGAGTGCACACTGCAACCTCTGCCTCCCAGGTTCAAGCAATTCTCCTGCCTCAACCTCCCAAGTAGCTGGGATTACAGGCATGCGCCACCATGCCCGGCTAATTTTGTATTTTTGGTAGAGATAGGGTTTCTCCATGTTGGTCAGGCTGGTCTTGAACTCCTGACCTCAGGTGATCTGCCTGCCTCAGCCTCCCAACGTGCTGGGATTACAGGCGTAAGCCACTGCGCCCGGCCCTAAGTCACTGCTTTAAAACTATTCCCAAGAGTGAATTTCTCATGCTGAGCTTCAAACTTTATTTTAAATAGATACAAGTATAAAATAATGCCTTTCATAAAAGGCAAGGTGATTTATACCAGAACTTGTAAAGAAAACATGAGAAGAGGATTCTATCACCTGTTTTGGCATATACTGACTATGACCTAGTATGAACCTCTGAGCCCATCTCTGGGTCTTCACTTCTACACCCATGATAGGACGTACAATTTTATTATTTTTATTTTTGTATTATACTTTAAGCTCTGGGGTCCATGTGCAGAACGTGCAGGTTTGTTACAGAGGTATACACATGCCATGGTTGTTTGCTGCACCCGTCAACCCATCATCTACATTAGTTATTTCTGATAGGAGGTAAAATTAAAAAAAAAATCTAAGGGCCAACATTTTCTTTAGACACTTTTGTTTCATAAAATAATGGCCAGGTGGCACAAAGAAATGTTTACATTTATTGAAGAATTTATGTATAATATTATTTAAATTCTTTAATAAATGTTTTTCATTTAAGTCCATTGGGTCAATGACATGTGTGATAAATTTGCATGTGCATGTGTATGTGTGTGTAAATAGCTAGTTCATATATCCAGTCTGAATAACTTGATATGAATCCTTGCAGTCATGTGTGATTGGCCCCCTCTATTTTCCTCATTCCCACAGTCAATTCTTCCGCGATTCCTAGCAGCTCTACATTCAGACAGATCTCATGTCTGACCTCTTCTCACTGCCTCTATTGTCAACATAATCATCAAAGTCCACCAACTCTCTCCTGACTGCCAGAGTCACCTCATTGGTTTTCTGCTTTCTTTTCCTATAACCATGGTCTGTTTCCTGCAAAGCGAACTTAGAGAACTTTGTAAAACCAAATCAAACCACGTCACATTCCTGCTCATAATCCTCCAGTGTCTGTCCCCATCATATTCAGAATAAAATCCAAACTCCTTCCCAGAGCTGAATAGTTTTATATAAATTGTCCCTTCCCTTCTCTTTGACATTCTCTTATTCTGCTCTAACCACCCCACACTCACCCCTCTGTTCATCCTGGTCTCTGCAAGTGCCAAGCATTATGTCTTAAGAGATGCTGTCCCTGGCCACCTTACCAAACACCAGTTACACATTCAGTGCCCATGTCATCTTGCTTTTTTAAATAATATTTATTACCTCACCTTATATAATTGTTTCTCTTCTCATGGAATTTCTAATATTACTATATTCTATATTGTAAATTTATTAATTATGTGACAGCTTAGAAGAGTTTACTTCTTTACGATATTTTCTAACATGAATAAAAGTTTAATTGCTCCGATTAGAGTTTAAAGTAGATAATTGGTCTCCATTTATTTCTCTCTCTCTCTCTCTTTTTTTTTTTTCTTTTTAGAAACAGGGTCTCATTCTGTTGCCCAGGCTAGAGTGCAGTGGTGACATCATAGCTCACTGCAACCTTAAACTCCTGGAAAGCAAATTCTGTGAGGACACAAACTTTGCCTGCCTATTTCAATGCTATATCCCCAGCACATATAACAGTGTCCAGTAGAAAGAGAATGCTTAATAAATATTGGTGGAATTAATTAATTAATAAGCAAATATGTATATACTCACATATGCACTGACCATGAGGCAGTTGAAAACCTGGGTTCACTACCTTTGGCCACGTCCATTTACCACATTCCATACAAACATTACCACTTTCTAGTTTTACATGACGTGAAAATGGCCTCCTCCTGTTGTAAGACTTTTTCTTTAGTTCAGCTACGAGCCGGGTTATTGTCACATGGCCATGAGAGATTAGGCTCACAGACACTTTGAAGGGTGAGAGTAAATGGAATTTATTGGACACAAAGTGGAAAAAAGGGAAACAGGGACCCTCTACAAAGCCAGAGTCCTGCTAGTGTGCTTCCTGCCTCGCAGATTGAATCCCAGGTTCCACCCAGGAAGAGGAGGGGCCAGGCTCCTCCCCCTGCAAACACACAAACTTCTGTGGCTCTCCCAGTGCACAGGCTGGTTGGAGTTTCTCTGGAGATCCTGTTGCACCGGGCTGTCACACTACCATGTAAAGAAACTATTAACACACTTAATAGTTTAACATAGTAGTAACAGCAAGGACCCTGTTATGAGAAGCATGCACCAGGATCTATGGGAACATACATGGGAGATACATAACTCAGACTAGTGCTGGTGTGGAAACAAGAAGAGATGGGTCACGGGATCTTCTGAGACATCCTGAAGCAGTACCTCAAGGAGCCAGGTGAGGTAAAGTGAGAAGCAAATTTCAGCATAGGAAAGAGAAAGCAGACAATTTGACAACCAAGTTGGCCAGCTAGTGGCGATGTCTCTCCCAAAACTGAGAATACATTCAGAAAAGTGGGTTTGAGGGGAAAGATGAGGTATTCAATTTTGATCAGTTTTTCTGCCTTTGCACAATGTACCAGTTCAATGGTGTAGCTGATCAGTGCTCTAGCCAACTACAGCTCTGGAGAATGAAATCCTACAAAAATATTTCTTAGTTCTTCATGTGGTAGGCCCATGAGTCATTCATCTTGTAACCTTCATGGCTTAGCACAGTGCCTGCCACATAATAATATTTGTTTAATGTCTTTAATTGAATTACATTGAATCCCTAATACTGTTACTGAAATGCCAGAGGTTTGGTCTAGGTCCCCTTGCTTGCTGCACAGAAAGCCAGTCACTGAGACAATGAGTACTGCCAGGGAAGAAAGGCTTTATTCAGGTGCTGCCACCAAGGAGGTAGGAGATCAGTCTCAAATCCATCTCCCCAGCTGACTAGAATTGGGGGTTTATATAGTGGAGAAGGAATGCAGCTACATAAGGGGAAAACAGGAATTAAGGAGGTAAGGAAGTAATCATGACAAATGAAGGGTCTGGTGTCTCATTGTCTGGATGCTGTGATCTGGTGAGTTTCAGTTCCTTGATATTTACTATCTGGAAGGCCTGAGGGTCGGTTTCCTGAGGAAGGAACTCATATAAGACAATTATAAGTTTCAAGCTTTAAGACCAGGGGGGTCAATTCCTATGTTTATTTTAAAAGACCATAAACATAAGTTCTATGGGACAGTTCAGTATAGTTGCCCCTTGATATCCATGGGAGATTGGTTTCAGGACCCCCATGGATACCAAAATCCAAGGACACTCAAGTCCCTTATATAAAATGGCATGGTATTTGCATATAACCTATGCACATACTCCCATATACTTTAAATTATAGAGATTTTAAGTAATCTCTTTATAATTTAATCTCTATACTAAGGAGTTTATAAGTAATCTCTAGATTATTTATAATACCTAATACAATGTAAAGGCTCTGTAAATTGCTGTGGTAACAGAGATCTGAGTTACCCTGAGTTACTGGCAGTGAATCTGTATGAGTCCACAGCAACTTCAGCCCTTGTCTCCTCAGAAGAAAGAGTTCGACTGAGGGCCATAAAGCAGAGAAAGACTGAGGCAAGTTGCAGAGCAGAAATGGAAGTTTATTTACAAAGCTTTAGAACAGGAAAGCAAGGAAAACTCGCTTGGAAGAGACCCAAGTAGTGCCTTAAAGTCAAGGAGAGAAAAGAGATCCCTTTAACCTTGACCCTGGGACTTTACAGGCTCGCCTCTTTCCCATGATTCTTCCCTTAGGGTGGGCTTTCAGCGTGCACGGTGCCCTCCTTACCCTTGGGAATTGAGCATGCGCAGTGTGTTTAGGGAGTTATACGTATGCCCATCTGAGGCTTTCTTCCTTTTCTGGTGGCGTGCGTCCCTGGAATGTCATACTTTGTCATTTTGTCTCAACACGCATGGCCAAGAAGCTGCTTCTCCCTGGGGCCTGCATTCAATTAACACTTAATGTTAACAGGTGTGGACCATCAGGAGCTCGTCTCTCCCTGGCTGCCAAATTGTCATTTTTAGAGAGGCAATGCAATAATTGCCAAACCATCACCCTACATTTCTAGTGGGTGGGGGCGAGAGCCCTCTCCTGCCCCCTGCTCATGCCTGTCTAGCTATAACAATACTATGTTGGGTTTTTATTTGTATTATTTATTATTGTATTATTATTTTTATTGTTTTTTTTAAAAATATTTTGCTTGAATCTATGGATGGAGAGCCCACAAATACAGAAGGCCAACGGCATATGCATGTTCATAGGCTTTTTGGTAAAGTTTTCATTAATTCTCAGTTGACGATTTAGTTTAGTTGATGGTTTTCTCTTCAATTCTTTATTAGAGGCCTCTAATAACATTCTGAGCTTCTCTTCTCATGCTTCTACACATTCTTTCCTCCATGCCAACAAGGGCCTTCCATATTCATAAGTAGAGATTTTTATATGAATACTTATTCTCTTCTGATTCAAATATGTGCCAAGTACAAAGATCTGGCTCTAGAACAGGGATATGTACACCTTTTTCTACAAAGGGCCATACAGTCTCTGTCAAAATTATTCAACTCTGTCATTGTAGCATAAAATCAGGCACAGACAATACATAAACAAATGGGCATGGCCTTGTTCCAATAAAACGTTATTTTTGAAAACAGGGCCGGGTGCAGTGGCTCACGCCTGTAATCCCAGCACTTTGGGAGGCCGAGGTGGGCGGATCACCTGAGGTCAGGAGTTCGAGATCAGCCTGGCCAACATGGTGAAACCCCATCTCTACTAAAAATACAAAAATTAGCTGGCATGGTGGCACATGCCTGTAATCCCTGCTACTTGGGAAGCTGAGGCATGAGAATCGCTTGAACCTCGGAGGTGGAGGTTGCAGTGAGCCGAGATCGTGCCACTGCACTCCAGCCTGGGCAATAGAGCAAGACTCAGTCTTGAAAGAAAAAAAAAAACAGGTGGTAGGCTGCATTCAGCCCTCAGGCCATAGTTTGCCAACCAATGCTCTAGAGTAATGTGAATACAAATACATATATACATACATATGCATACAATGCAGTTAACGTATAGATACATATAAATTATAAAACAGATCTTCAGCAATTTTGAAGAAGAAAAAAGATTTAGATCATCTACTTACAGGATTGAAAGAAAACCTTTTCCAAACTGGACTACATTCATTTTTCTTTTACTAACATACTTAACAACATCAAATTCATAGCACATCCTGTGAGAAAAGATCAGAGGTCATTTCTGACCTTCCTCACTGCCAACATTTTCTGATGTTATTGACAAGTGTTATCCTCTCAAAAGGCTGCAGCCTAAATAATTACTTTCATCTTCGTTTTCATGAACAAAGTTAATACCTAATTAAAATGCCAACCCAATTAAAGATGAAAATCTTGTCAGTATTTATACCATTGAAAAAAAATAACCTCTCAGACTTGAGTGAATTGTATAGTTTTTAAAGAAACCAAAATCTAATATTGTTTGTGAAGTCGCCCACCAACCAGGGAGAAGGGACTGAGTCACTTGGATCTGTTTCTTTCTGAGCCATAAAAAGGAGCTTAATGTTCTGGTCAGGAACCACTGAAACTTAGTATTGATTTTCCGTGCTCAATTTCTCTCCCAAGTCTTGGTCTTCCACCTGAAGAAAATTTCATTACTATCAGGAAGCTTGGGCAAGTCAGAATGAACAGCAGGAAACTAAGTTCTGTAAATGGCTTCAACCTCTTACTTCCATTTTGTTAGATTAGCCAGGCTAGTTTTCTTAATTAGAAGCTGGTGCTTCACCTTCCTTAAGAACAATAAATATAGATAGTGGTTTGATGAATTGAAAATTACCTCTTATAGTGAATAATTAACTGAACATCCATGGACAAATTCATGACATTTTAGATCTTTCTTTCCAGTTTTTCAACAGCCTTCTCTCTAAGTATTTGATTTGTTGATATCTGAGGCTCTTCCCAATTATTGGCAAAAACAAATTGGCTCAATGACAATTCAATCCTCTGTTTTTTTGTGTGTATAGAGTAGAAACTCTTGAACAAACATGCTCTTGATCACATCTCTCCTATAAGAAGGTTGGAATTAGATTGGAAATTGTAGGAATGGTCCCAGCAGGACAGTAGGTTTTAGGAAAGCAGTAGCAAAAACTCAGAAAGGAAAACCATATTCGCTCACTTTTCTCTGGGTTTTCAATGTGACTATTTTTTATTATTGGTAGTAGTAACTGTGAATTCCCTGGTCATTAGACAAACTCATATTCAAATAAGAAATACAAAATTGAACAGATTATAATTAGTGACAATTTTAAAGATATATTCCTGATACTTAAAAAATACGCAGTGTCAGTGAATGTTAACTATGTGAATACTAAGCAACAAATGATTCTCATATGCTGTTGGGAGTGAATATTGATACAACTTTTTTGGGGAGTATTTGGACAATATAAATCAAGAGTGTTAAGATTATTCTGCTCTTTTGATCTGGCAACTAACTCACTTCTTGAAATTTATACTAAATGGGCCAGGCATGGTGGCTCACACCAGTAATCCCAACATTTTGGGAGGCCAATGTGGGAGGATCACTTGAGTCCAGGAGTTCGACACCAGCCTGGCCCATATCGTGAGACCCTGTCTCTACAAAAATAGAAAAACTTAGCTGGGCATGGTGGCACATACCTGTAGTCCCAGGTACTGGGGAGGCTGAGGTGGGAAGATCGCTTGAACCCAGGAGTTCGAGGTTTCAGTGAGCTATGATCACACCACTGTACTCTAGCGTGGGTGACAGAGCAAGACCCTATGAGACCCTAACTCAAAAAACAAACAAACAAACAAACAAAAACAGAAGGAATTACTTGGCCCTAAATGTCAGTAGTGCTAAGGTTGAGACAGCCTGCTTATGCTGGGTGCAGAGCTATTGCCTGAAAGCATCTCTGAGATACAAAATCACCCAAAAACTGAAGTTTTCTGCTCACTTGTTCATGAAGCAACATAAAATCCATTCAGCCTCCTGGATTCTCACTACATTCCTACAAACTTTCTTAAATGGAGTGGGGTGACCATCTTCCCCTCCTCCCTCAGCACTGTGGAGTTTACACACACTAATGTCATAATATCCGTCTACATGGAAGCCTGGTATAGACATGCAGCATTAGTCATAGAATCCCATAGAAGCTCATCAGTGCCTCCAGCTGAATCTCCCTCTTTGTTCTGATTTAAATAAAGCCTTTCTTTAAGAGCTCTTCTCAAAGCAATCCGATGAAATGCTACGAAGTATACCAAATCCAATTACTTTCTGCATTCTTGCCTAGTATTTGGAAAAACCAATCCTCCCTAAGCCACTAAACTCATTCAAAAAGCATGCCAAGGTGACCACATTAAAGGAAGTGGAATTTTAACGAAAGTCTTGACACCCACAAAGTACTAATGAGAGGGCAGGGTTGGCCTCTCAGTCAAGAGTCTCAAGTTTGCCCAGAATATTAACAGACATTCTTTATTTTGAGGCAAATGGCTCTCTCACAATGACAGAGACGGTCTGCTAATGCATGATTCAGGTGCTTTGTCACAGAATGAGTCAGCAGGATGGTTAATAAGTACCACAGTAGTATACAATACGAACATAACTGGTTTTCAGTATGTCCTCTATTTTTTTCTGGCTCAGAAGCTAATATATGGTGCACTACAGTGATGTTTTCTACCTCTCACCAAGTGAAGTTCATTAGCCTGGGTGGGCAAATAGCATCAGGGATGCTATGGAAGCCACAGGTGAGAAGTGGAGGAGGGAGTCTCAAACAGATAGTGCTCTCTCCCTGTGCAGTCCAACTCTCTTACCCAAAACATGGACGGTAATGCTCAAGACAAGTACATTCATTTCCTATCATGCATAACAAATGAAAAACAAACTTAGTGGCTTAGAACGACATACATTTATTAACTCACCGTTTTGTGGGGCTTTAGCTGGGTCCTCTGCAATCAAGGCAGGAGCAGTGGTCTCATCATAGGACTCAAGGACTTCTTCCAAGCTCATTCAGGTTGTTGGCAGAGTTTAGTTCCTTGCGGTTGGAGAACTGAGGCTCTCAACCTAGAGACCACCCATTCCATAGCTTGTTTACAGTATGGTTGTTTGTTTCTTCAAAATCATCAGAAGAGACATCCTGCTTCAGGTCTCATCTTCCAGAAGGTCTGGACCCTTTTTTAAAGGGCTCCTCTGGGTAGGTCAAGCCCACCCAGGATAATCTCCCTTTTGATTAGCTCAAAGACAACTGCTAAGGGACCTTCATTACATCTGCAAAATCCCTTCACGTTTGCCATACTTTATTATCTAGAAGCAAGTCCCAGATTCCACCCTCACTCAAGGGGAGAGAACTACACCACAGTGTGGATACCGGGGGGTGAGAATCATGGGCATCATCTTAGAATTCTGCCTCCCACAACAGCATTGTGAATGTTGAAGTTGATAGCACTGACTGGGAGAGAGTAAAATATATTGGATGTCAGAGTCCATTTCCTATCCAATAGGGTGACAGCTTGGAATAAGTCAAAACTAGCAGAGAGAAACTTGAGACCCATACTAAGCTTTTAACATGGAAGATCTGGTTAAAAAGCAGTTTCTGGAAAAAAGACTTGGGGGTCTTAATTATTTATAAGCACGTAAGAAATGTTTGTATAGTGTGACATTTTTAGGAAAAAAATTGCTCATAATTGCAATTATTGTGTAATACTAAATATATTAATATTCAGATTAAGAAAGAAAACATAAACAGTGGGCTTGGTACTGCATATGCCAAACCACATCTGGAAAGCTTTTTGACAGTTCTGGGCTTGACATTTTAAGCTGAACATTGCTCAAATGAAAGCTTGAGATCAAATCATATGAAAAATGTTTGAAGGAACTATGGATGTTTACAGAAGAAACTGAAGAGGAAACAGAATTGCAGCCATATAAGAGCTGAGGAAGCAGAAATAAGACTAATAGATGAGAGTTATAAGGAAATATATTTCCCCTCAGTATAAGAAATACAGTTCTATTGTTTAGTCATCCACAAAGGAAATGACTCATGGGGAAGGGAACTCATATTCAAGGCTAATCTCATCCATGATGCTCTTGATTCCTTTCCCACCTCCATTTATTATGCCCTTTCTCACCTTTATCTTCACCCAACCTCATTTTCTAGTTGGCAGCCATGCATAGTTTTCTCCCATTATGTACATAAAGCAAAATTCCTCAACCTCATATTCCACTAAGCTACTGGCTCTTTCTCTCATCCTCTTTGAAGACTGACTTTCTGAAAGAGTGGTGTGCACTTGTTATATGCCCTCCATAGCCTTCACCCTCCTATCAGTCCACCCAGTCTGGCTTCTGCTCCCACCAAGCCACACAAATTGGTCTTTGTAAAGTCACTGTGGATAAGTTCAGTGATGCTCTTTGCAGTTTCTCTTACATGACACTGTTGACTAGACTGTCCTTTTTGAAATCGTGTCTTTCCTTGGTTTCTCTGATATCACATTCTCTTGAGACCTCTCTGAGTCCTCTGGCCACTCTTTAAGCCTCCTTTGTGATCTCTCTTTTATATGACGTACACTAATGCTCCACCAGCCTCTGTCTTGGGTCTACTCTATTCTCATTCTACATGGTATCTTTTCTACATGGTATCCTTTTAGTGACTCCCATTGCTCTAACTGCCATTTGTACACTGCGGGACCTTAGTTCTAGTATAGATCTCTGTCTTCTGAAATCCATGTCTCTTTCACCAAAGACCAACTGGACAGCTTCATTGGAAAACTCCCAAGTAACCTGAAACTCAATGAAGTCAAACCCTGATTTATAATGCCCCACTTTGGCCCACCTCCTATACCCTCCTCCTTGGTTTCCCCATGTCAGAGAATTGTTGGCAGGATGTCATTATGGTCCCCACTGTCATTCTTACCAGTTCTCCTTAGTCCATTAGTCTGCAAGTCTTGAAGATATTCCCTTCAGAGCCATCTAATTTTCTCTATTAGATACCACCTTGATTCAAGCCATCATCTTCTGCCTCGATTAATGTAATAGATTTGATTCTAACTGGTACCCTCTTGTGTCTCTCCAAAATTCTCTTTATGTTACAGCCAGAGTGTCTTTTCAAAACTTAAAAAAAAAAGAACCAGACTGTATTCCTATCCCCATTCCTCTATCATTTATATATGTCCAGCCTCCTTAACTTGGCATTCAAGGTCTTTTATGATCTGTTCTCTCTATGCCTCTACAGCCTTACCTCTTGTCATCCCCACATCCCCATTTCCCCATGTTCTGGCCTCCTGCTATATTATACCATTAATGGATCCCTGTGGCAGCAATTAGTCATCCTTCAAAATCCATTCATTCTCCCCCACTTTATAGACACAAGTCACCCAAAGAGAGCCAGGGAGCCTGGGTTCCTAAATGACCACAAGGAAGGACACTTATCTAATCACCTGATGAGACCATGATGTGATCAAGAAATAAGCATTTTATTGTCTTCAGTCTCTCAGATTTGGGAATTGTTTGTTACAGGAGTCAGTCTACATTACTAACATAACTATTCACTTCGGAAATATTAGGTGAAAGAGAAATACACTTCTATAGTCTTTATGTCACTGTATTTGAGGTCTCTGTTACAGCAACTTTACACTAACTAATATGCCCTCTAGGACAAAACTGGATACCCTGTGTACTCACCCTGTCTCAGAACTTACTGCACTGAAATTGTCTCTTTGTCTATACTCCCCCATTAGCTACTGGATAGCAAAGGCTGTTGCCTCTACGTAATTGTACCCACAATACCCAGCATCTCTATCTCCATCATTAGCATCATTGTCAACTTCTATATCATTTATTGAATGATTATCTTGTACCAGGGACTGTTCTAGTACTTTATATAGGTTTATTCATTTATTCCTTAAAGCAACCCTATGAGACTAAGTCTTATTTACCCATTTTATAGAGTGGGAAACTGTGGCCCAGAGAGATTAAGAACCCTCTCCACATCCACGTATCTAGGAAGTGAAAACCAAGATACGGGCCTGCAAGCTTAAACAGTATAGTACAGGTTGTAGGAACTGAATAAGTCTTGCTTGAATTAATAAGCTACACTGATTAAGTAAATTCTACTTAGTTGGCTGCAGAAGGGACTTTTGCTGTGGGGACACATTGCACTATTTCTGAACTGTCTTTGGTGAAGGACTTCTTAGAATTTCTAATCTATTATGGTCTGATATTTGTGTATGATATGAAATCATGTGTTTGGCTATAATGGCAATATCAAATACAATAAAAGTTTCTAAACACTTAACTCTCCATGCCTCTACTCAATCATCATGGCCAATAAGAGGCTATAATCTGGCACCAGTCTGTGGACCACACTTTGCGTTCCACTGGACTAGAGAAACCATGGGATTTATTCCAACTCTAAGATGACGTATTTCATAATTGTAAAACAAAACCCAAAGAGGAAAAGTATTTGACTTTATGATGTATTAGTCCATTTTCATGCTGCTGATAAAGACATACCCGAGACTGGGCAATTTACAAAAGAAATAGATTTAATGGACTTACAGTTCCACGTGGCTGGGGAGGCCTCACAATTATGGTGGAAAATGAAAGGCATGTCTCACAAGGCGAGAGACAAGTGAAGAGAGCTTGTGCAGGGAGACTCCCATTTTTAAAACCATCAGAGACTTATTCACTATCATAAGAACAGCACGGAAAGACTTGCCCCCATGATTCAATTTCCTGCCACCAGGTCCCTCCCACAACATGTGGGAATTCAAGACGAGATTTGGGTGGGGACACAGCCGAACCACATCGTAAGAGTTGACAAAGAGCCAGTGAGAATCATCTACTCTAAATTTAGCAAACAACAGAGTGGTATATGCTAAATGCTCTGGTGAGAAAACACCACACACATTCAAAGAGATGCAGAGTACATGCTCCTCAATCTTAGAGAGCGTGAATCTAGTAGAGTGGATTCAACTAATACCCTCAAAATGTGGAAGAGATAAGAGTATGGTTCAGAAGCTGTCCTATAAGAATATACAAACAGAAGCCTTCATTCAAGGGGCAATTACTAGGGGATATTTCAAACATGGCACACACATTCTATAAAATACAGATGATTGCTAACTTAACATGGTTTGACTCACAATTTTTCAATTTTACAATGGTATGATACACATTCAGTAGAAATTATACTTCAAATTTTTAACTTTGATATTTTCCTGGGCTAATGATACCCTCCTCAAGATGCTGGGCATTGCCAGCAAGCTGTAGCTCCCACTCAACCAGGTGATCACGATCAACAGGGTAAACAATGGATACTCTACAGTGTACTTTGTTGCCAGATGATGTTCGCCAACTGTAGGCTAATGTAAGCATTTTGAGTAGTTTAAGTTAGGCTAAAGTAGGCTATTATGTTCAGTAGGTTAGGTGTATTAAATGCATTTTCAATATTTTCAGCTTATAATAGGTTTTACAGGATGTAACCCCATCATAAGTAGGGGAGTATCTGTACTTTTTGAAACAGTCCTTTTAAAAATTGAGACTGGACCATATGTACTGAAATTGAAATATATCCAAGAAATTTTTAAGTGAAGAAAAGCAGCCAAATGATGGCCAACTTGTGTAAATTTCTATTGTCAATTATATATCCAATAATGAACTTGTATCTAGAATATATAAAGTCTTACAACTCACTTATAAAAAGATAAATAATCCAATTAAAAATTGGCAAAGGACCTAAATAGATATTTCTCTAAAGAAGATATAAAAATGGCTGATAAGCATATGAAAAGATGCTCAACATCATTAGTCATTAGGGAAATGCAAACCCACATCACAATGAGATTCCACTTTACACTCGGTAGGATGGTTGTAATAAAAAAGACAAACAATAACAAGTGGAGAAATTGAAAGCCTTGTTAAACATTGCTAGTGGGAATGTAAAATGATGCAGCCATGGTGGAAAACAGTCTGGCAGTTCCTCAAGATGTTAAACACAGAGTTATCACATGATCCAGCAATTCCACTCATAGATATATATGCAAGGAAAAGTAAAACACATCCGCACAATGTTCATAGCAACATTATTCATAATTATAAATTACATAATTCATATATCCACATGATGAGCTATTATTTGACAATAAAAAGAAATGAAGTCCTGATACACACTACAACATGAATTAGCCTTGAAAACATCATGTAAATGAAAGAAGCCAGACACAAAGGACCACACATTATATGATTCAGTTTATATGAGATGTCCAGAATAGGCTAATCCAGAGACACAGAAAGTAGGTTAGTGGTTGCCTAGGGCAAGGGGGAGCAGCAAATGAAGAATGACTGTTAATGGATACAGGATTTCTTTAGAGGCAAATGAAAATGCTCTAGAATTAGATTGTGGGGGTAGTTGCATCTCTGGGAATATGTTAAAAACTATTGAATTGTACACTTTAAATAGGTAAAATGTATGTATGTGAATTATATCTCAATAAAGCTGTTAAAATAATTGCTATTCCCAGTTCCTTGGAGCAATTCACAGGTAGATTAGCAGGAGAGATTATAGGTCTTTTAAAATAATTTCTATGTTTTTATGTTTCTCTAAACTTAAGCCATGCTCACTTGAGCCATTGTTCACAAACTCCATCAGCATTACAAAAAGTAAAGAATTAAAAGTGGGGCAACCTTATCTATCTGCATAGGCACAGCTTAGTGAAAAGCCCCTGAAAAGGAGAATTAGTACAACAGGTTGATGCAAGACAATGTTTTATTAAAACAATAACTTACCACTGAAAATACAAGTTTTCCTCCTGCCTCTGAAAATTAACAGCTTCTCAGCTGTTTGTATTTCTGAAACTGAAGTGTTTTGACAGTTCCTAATTGTAAGATACATAAAATACCTCCGGAAAACCTATTGAAAAAGAACCATTCCTTAAAGTCCTGTAATCAGAGCTCACCCCAAGAAGACAAGAGGTTGAACTAGACTCTACGTCCATCTCTTGAATGAACTTCAATGCATGACTTATCCACTGCAGGTTTCTTTACAGTCTTGAAACCAAAACATGTACTTCAATGTTTTAATTTGAAATAATTTAAATTTTAGAGAACAGTTGCAAAAATAGCAAAAAGAATTTACTTGTACCTGTTATCCATGTCCATAGTCACTCATTTAAAATAATCTGCCACATTCATGTTATAGTCCCTCTCTCTGTCTACACACACACATTCACACAGAGAGACAGACATATACTTTTTTCTGAACCATGTGCAGACATATTCATATTCATTTACTCCTTAATCCCTCAGTGCGTATTTTCTGTATTTCCTAACATAGCCTAAAATATTTCCAACATATAATCTTGCATGACCACAGTGCAGTTATTGAAATTAGGAAATTTAGCATCGATACAGTATTTTTATCTAATCTATAGTCCATATTCCAATTTTATTGGTTATCCCAACAATGTACTTTATAGCAATTCTTTTCTAGTACAGGATCCAGTCCAGAATCACACATTACATTTAGTTGCCATGTATATTTACTATCCTTTAATCAGAAACAGTTCCTAAGCCTCTTTCATCAGTATTTATATTTCATTCATTATTTTAAAGTGTATAGGGGACTTATTTTACAGAATGTCCCTTCATATAGGTTTATCTAATGTTTTCTCATGATTTGATCCAAGTAATGCATATCTAGTAAGAATATCACATAAGTGATGTTGTATCTTTCCCAAGGTCTCATAGCCAGAGGCATGTGATGCCCATTTGGCCTTACTGGTGATGCTAATTTTGGTCATTTGGTTAAAGTTTTGTTCCTTCACCATATAGATTTTCCTTTCATAACTAATAAGTAACTGGTGAGGAGATACTCTGGGACTATGTAAATATCCTATTCCTCTTTAAGCTCTCTTCCTATACAATTTAGCAAGAGAATTTAAGATAAGCCTCATAATAAAAAAAAAAGTGTCAAGACTCTTGATACATAAAGAGAATTTATTCTCAATATATATTTGTGTCAAGGTTATCTTAGATTACAGACCCAGGTGGGCAGGAAGTGGTCCATGAAGCTTACTTGGTACAGAAGGCAGTTGTGATATGTGTTCATAATAACTATGAAAAATTCTTAGCAGCAGTGCAAGATGAGCTTAGATTGGATATTTCAAATATAATACATCCATTCTATAAATTTTATGCAACAAATTTTAAAATGGGAACAGTTTCTTATATACTGAAATTGAAATATCTCCAAGAAACTTTTAAATGAAAAAAGTAGGGTATATAAAAGTATGCACAGAAGAATCCCGTTTATGCTTTAAAAACTATATTTGTACTTTTACATATTAATGTATGTAAATTTATAGACACTAGCCTGGAAGAGTATACACCAAACTGTTAACAGCAATTACTTCTCTGGAGGCAAATGGGAAATTGGAGAGGGGGTAGTGCTTGCTCTGTGGGGAATAAGACATTCACTTTTGAGTCTAGACACCTCTGTTTTTAGAACAGGAATGTATTTATGTGTTACTAAAGCATATATATTCTAAAGACATATATTTGCTGAAAACACTTACATTAGCATTATTTTCAAGATTTCCTTTTTTGACACTCTGATTACTATTCATGTGAATAAAAGGCCGTGTACATAAATGAAGTCTCCTTTGCCTTCATCTCACTTATATACATACGATCACATTAATGTATGTGTTACATGTATATTGTGGTATATATATTTATGTATATGTAATATGTGTATTGTGCTCACCAAAAACTAGAAACTGAAGGGTCATTTTCTACCATTCTCCAATGTTCCTGACTTTCACAGTTGGTTTTATTTAACCTGTAGAGATTTGAATTAATCACACTGAATTTGTCAATACTCTAACAAACCAGCCTCCAAGAACATTTACTGAATAGATCTCAGACATTTGTTCAGTGAGGTAGAGATGTGAGATGGTAATTACCACCATCTCATTGGGCATTTTTTATTGTGATTTAAATGGTGATATAGTTTGGATATTTGTCCCCATCCAAATTTCATGTTGAATTGTAATCCCCAGTGCTGGAGGTGGGGCCTGGTGAGAGGTGTTTGGGTCACAGGGGTGGATCCCTCATGGCTTGGTGCTGTCTTCATGCTAGTGAATGAGTTCTCTTGAGATCTGGTTATTTAAAAGTGTGTAGCACCTCCCCGCTCTCTCTTGCTCCTGCTTTTTCCATGTGATGTGCCTGTTCCCCCTTTTGCCTTTTACAATGGTTGTAAGCTTTCTGAGGCCTCCCCAGAAGCAGATGATGGCATTATGCTTCCTATACAACCTGCGGAATCATGAGCCAATGAAACCTCTTTTCTTATAAATTACCCAGTCTCAGATATTTCTTTATAAGCAATGCAAGAACAGCCTAAAAAAGAAAATTGGTACTGAGGAGTGGAGCATTTCTATAGATACTTGATGTGGAAGTGACTTTGGAAATGGGTAACAGGCAGAGGTTGGAAGAATTGTATTTTTCAGTGTGAAAAGGACATGAGATTTTGGGGGCCAGGGGCAGAATGATATAGTTTGAATGTGTGTCTCCACCAAATCTCATGTTGAATTGTAATCCCCAATGTTTAAGGTGGGGCCTGGTGGGAGGTGTTTGGATCATGGGGCAGATTCCTCGTGAATGGCTTGGGCCATCCCCTTCATGATAAATGATCTCTCACTCTGAGTTCACATGAGATCTGGTCATTTCTAAGTGTGTGGCATCTCCCTCCTCAGTCTCTCTCTTGTTCCTGCTTTTGCCATATGATATGCATGCTCTCATTTCACCTTCCACCATGAGTCAAAGCTCCCTGAGGCTTCCCCAGAAGCCAAGCAGTGCCGGTGCCATGCTTGTACAGCCTGCAAAACTGTAAGCCAATTATATATATTTTCTTATGAGTTATCCAGTTTCAGGTATTTATTTATATCAATGCAAGAATGGCCTAATACATATGTATAGTATCACACAGTACTTTACTTATAAAGCTGCTTTTTTTTTTTAACTTATCTATGGAAAACATCAAAAATATACAAAAGTAGACTATACTTCAATGTACCCATCACCCAGTTTTAATAATTATCAAGTCACAGCTAATTGTTTTTCATGTATTCCTCCCTACCATCATGATTGTTAGGAGACAAGTCTCCATGGGTCTCTTGTGTTTCCTCATGTCTTGTGAGCATAGGTGCTCACTGACTTTGTTATAAACTCTTTTTAAGGATGTTTGTCTAGCAAAGAGTCTTGGATGAAAAAGATAGTGTCTGTCTTCAGAGTAGAGGGCATATTTGTTTACTGACCAATATGATAAAGATAATGTCTCCCTCCAAAGCAAAGTCAAGAAAGTTTGCTAACTTCCCATTATAAAAGATCCATGTTTCCTAAGCTCAAGGTTCCCCAGCTGTGATGCAAACCTACTGCTTGCACAATATCCAACTGAGCCACTTTGCATTGCCTCCATGAGACTTGAAAACCAAGAGAGATCTGATGTGAACATAAAACTCATGCTGCTTTCTGTTCTGTGGATAATAAAGTCCTTTTTCTCTAACCCAAGAGCCTTGTGTCTTTTGCCAGTATCCATAAAACTGGCAGAGTAACTTGTGAGCCTGGCAAGTAGGGTAAAATCTGAAACTCTTCAAAATTCTTGACAACTGCTTCCTCTCTCCCATATTATTTTGAACAAATCCCAGACATTAAATTATTTCATCCATAAATACTTTGTTAGGTAGGAACTATTTTGAATATTCTTTGAAACTAATATAATCAAAGATGATGGAACTTAATTCCACACTAGTGTTTATATACAATACCAACACCTAAGAGGTGAAGTTTGGTAACTATAGGTGGATGATCCCTAACCCTAAAGAAACTCTTGGGAGTAAATATGTTTCAAAATGTAGACTTTTCAGATTTTAGGAGGTTCATAGAGAACATAGACCATATATTAAACAACATTTGCAGTGAGGCCTGGGGCAGCACACAGTAATCAAACATTGATATTTTTCCATGAAACATAAATATTCACACCAAGTAGGATAAAGAGAGACTATAAATAACCTCTCTTCAGTTCAGCTCAAATTTTATCACCAAGTAAGTTACAAACAAAACTTTAGCTTGTCAGTTTTGGGGGAATTTCAGAACTGCAGACAAGGAACTATGGACCTTAATTCCTTAATCAAGTTAAAGATTTAGGCCCTCAGCATCTTGATTTTTTTTTTAAAAGCCATTTAAAAAAATTCACAGATCTTTTATTAATGTGTTTGGACATTTAAAAATAGACAGGACCAAAATGAAGTAGTTTAATGCATTAATAAGATTTCAAATCACACATACTAATTTGACTATATTTGTGACGTGATATTTTATCATGTTTCTGTTTTGTAAGCATTAAATATTTCTGAGCCTCTCTGATCAAAGTGGAACATGAATAGCAGTCATTTGATGAACTCAGATGCATAAAAGGGCACGTACAACAATTAGAAAAGAGGATGTTTAACAAGGATAAATAAAAAAGGGGCTTGGACCAGAACAAATCATGTCTGGAAGGTTAGGGGTTACTTACAGCTATGTTCACCAAGCAAGAGTAACAAGGCTTGCAGTCTGTACACAAATCATGTTCATGTAAGACAGAGAAAGCAGGACATCCCAGGAAGCCTTTTCCTTATGATCCTTGGCCAAGGACAGAAATGTATAGGAGGGTAAACTTGAAGCTAAAATGGATGAGAACATCATCCCAGAATACTCAACTACTCTAAATAACATCTACTTCTTCAGGTTTGATGGATTGCATCTCTGAATAGGGAGAAGGAATGTCATATCATTTATTGAGTATCTACTATGTGTCTGACAATTTGCCAGGTGCTAGTTATACTGTTATTCTAATAAAAAGTAGGGAAAGTAAAATCCAGGGAGACTGAACAATGTGAATAAATGAATGAATGAATGAATTTATATGGAAAAACCATTTGTTAGCAATTTCTTAGGTGCAGGCACTGTTATATGCATTTCAATATATAAAAGAATGACAAACAACTCCAACCTTTAGGGAGTTCCCAATTTAGTGGGAGAGACAGATATATAAGCACATAATTGTAGCATAATTTTATACATGCTGCTATTGTAGCTCAGAATTTAAAAATCAGACTTTGTCATCTATAAAAACTTTATTGCAGATAAAAAGAAGGGAAATTTTTACCAATCAGAGGCTAGGAATAACTCATCCTTGTTCCTGCAAACATTGACACTTAAGAATTTATTTTATATTCAAAAAGAAAGTAAGATGCCAGCCGGAAACTGCCTTATGGTCAACAAGGAAGAGAGTCTTTATGACCCTTAGGTTCAGGAGAGGAAGCTGGATCTCATGTCATAAATAGGTAAATTCCAAAAGCCACATAAAGGAGAGTTGTTACATGCCTTAGAAAGGAGTCATAATGGTGTTTTTTGTTTTGTATCCTTTCAGAAATACATGAAGAATCCATCATTTTGTTGACACTTTGATTCTTTAATTATTAGTGATGTCTTCTTATTCAGTGCTTCACTTCTCTCTCACTAGAGATATGAACCAGGAGCAGTGGTAGTATAGGCGATCAGAAAGTCAAACCATTCCATTGTATAAGCTCTCTTAGCTCAGCCTATCCATATTCTTATTCCAAGGATTGACAGCAAGCAAATCAACCTATAGTTTGAAGAATGCTCCTCCTTATTGGAAAAGAAAAAGATCATTTGCCCAGTTCTCACCACCTGGAAGCTCTCCTGACATTGGAGATTTCTCAAAGATTCCAGACAGTAATTTCATCTACTGGATCTTTTGCTTGGCTTGGTGCAAAGACACAGGCTTTGGATTCAAATGTCAGCTCTGTCACCATCTCTGAACTACAGTTTCTCCCTAGCATACGTAATGCTTTTTATACAACCTAACATTTAAAAAACAAAAACCTAAATAGGAGACAATGACTTGGCAGAATAGAGAACTCATCAGTCATTAGATAATGGCATCCCATAGTCATTATTTTGAAGAATGTGAAATTGAAGGATGCCAAAAATAATTAAACCCAGAAATAAATATATGCTGCTATAATAAAAAGAGGAGGTATATTTGTGAAATTGTAATTGAGGTGACAGCAGAAGCAAAAAAAAATAAGATAATTGAAAGAAAAACAATGCAATTATAATCCACAGCCAAGCACACACCCCACTCCCCACATCATTATGGATAATACCTGCTGCCACCTTAGACTCTGGCTTTAAAATAAGATGACAGAAGGATCAGTTTCTCTGCTTGTCTGGATGCTCACCCCAGTACAGGAATATCCTCCTGTCCTCCCCTCCAAAGAGGAAACATATTAAGTAGACTCTTATGGGCAAGAGAGGAAGGAGATATCTCCAGGGGAGTCTGGTAGGAACAATGCCCATCAAGATCAGCCTGGTGGAGCCTCCGGTAGCTAGAAACTACCAGAAAGTGATCGAGTTCCTGGGGTTACACAGGTACTGTAATGCCCAACCTTGTTTTTACTAACCCTGTTTTTAGGCTTGTTTCCACCTGAATTGACTCTCCCTTAGCTAAAAGAGCCAGACAGACTCCATCTTGGCTCTCTCACTGGCAGCCCCTTCCTCAAGGACTTAACTTGTGCAAGCTGACTCCCAGCACATCCAAGAATGCAATTAACTGATAAGATACTGTGGCAAGCTATATCCGCAATTCCCAGGAATTTGTCTGATTGATAATGCCCAAAGCCCCGAGTCTATCACCTTGTAATAGTCTTAAAGCCCCTGCACCTGGAACTGTTTACTTTCCTGTAACCATTTATCCTTTTAACTTTTTGCCTACTTTATTTCTGTAAAATTGTTTTAACTAGACCCCCCTCCCCTTTCTAAACCAAAGTATAAAAGAAAATCTAGCCCCTTCTTCGGGGCCGAGAGAATTTTGAGCGTTAGCCGTCTCTCGGTCGCTGGCTAATAAAGGACTCTTAATTCGTCTCAAAGTGTGGCGTTTTCTCTAACTCGCCTGGGTACAACAGTACCACAGAGGAGGAGAGGAGCTTCAGCTACAATCCTAAAGATAAAATGTGCATGACTGAAAGTGTTATCAAAGACCAGTCATGGCATTCAGATAAATCCACCCCACCCCACTCAACTAATCTTTAAGGAGACAAGAGCAGTTTCCAAAGATTATCTTGACTATATCATCTTGGTGTAGGACTTAAACCTCCCTGCTTCCCTTTGGCATTGAGATTGAGACTTGGGGACAGTTAAAATCATTTCCTGATTTCAAAAATCCCTAATCAGTAACATTTCTTCCTTTACACGGGCTCTTTTCCCTCCCGTCACTCTCTGCTTAGGGAATTATTTCTCATTGCTCAATTCTCCACAAAACTTTCAGTAATTCAAAGTAAAATTTCCTGACATGCACTCTATCACTGTACTGCAAAAACACTATTAATATACTTGTATTATGAAATTTTCCAAACTGACTTTTTTCCATACTGATTTTCTTCACTAATCTCTAAACTTTTTCAGTCACAAATAAAGTTTTATTCCTCTCTAGGGTACCCTGAGTGCATCATGATGCTTGGTACCAAATAGACTGTCAATGAATGCTTATGGATTGAGAATAAAGGTTTAGCCAGGCACAGTGGCTCACTGCTGTAGTTCCAACTATTCAGAAGGCTGAGGCAGGAGGATTGCTTGATCCTAGAAGGTCAAGGCTGCAATGAGCTATTATGATGCCACTGCACTCCAGCCTGTGTGACAGAGCGAGATCCCAATGCAAGAAGAAGAAGGAGGAGGAGGAGGAGGAGGAAGCATTAAATAATTTAGGCTTAAACTTTCTTGTCTCTCCTATATATCCATTCTGATAGTAGTTCAATCACAGTAGTATGGTTTATTTTTGTACCATCAGATACTGTGTTATCCATTTTGTGTTTTTCTTAAATTCTTATTATTTGTTGTAGGCAGCCTCTGACATAACTCCCAATGATCTCTACCTCATAGCATTCACACCTTTGTGTAATTCCCTCCCCTTAAGTGTCAGCTGGACCTAGTATCCAATAGAATATGGCAAAAGTGATGGGATGTCACTTCTGAGATTAGGTTATAAAACAATGTGATTTATGTCTTGTTAGCATGCTCTCTAGTTGGTGCTCTCTCCTGCCTTTCACTTGCTTGCTCTGATGAAAGCAGCTGCCATGTTGTGAGACACTCTTTGGAGAGACCCACATGGCAATGAACAAAGAGAGACTTCTGGCCAACAGCTCATGAGGAATTGAAGACTCAGTCCACCAGCCTCCAAGGAAATGAATCCTGCCATCAGCCATGTGAGTGAGCTCAGAAGTGGATCCTTCCCAGTCGATCTGAGATGACTACAGCCCATGAGAGATCCTAAAGCAGAAGACCCAGCTAAGCCACACTCAGATTCCCGAACCATGGAAACCGTGATATCATAAATCTGTGTTGTTTTAAGCCTCTAAGTGTTGAGTAACTTGTTACACAATAGATCACTACTACATTATTTATCAATCAGCTAGGGATTACAGATGATAAAACCCAACTATGGCAAAATTCCCAGTTTGGTTGATTATTAGATTTAGTCCATAAATGATTATCGATTTGCAACATGCATAACAAATTATACAGTCGGCCCTCCATATCTGTGTGTTCCACATATTCAGATTCAACCAAACACAGATAGAAATACACTATTCGAAAATACACTGTTCCACAGGACCAACTGTGGGACTTGAGCATCCATGGATTTTGGTATCAGAAGTGGGTCCTGGAAACAATCTGCCTCAGATACCAAGGGACAACTACATTTCAGTCATCAAAATGGCTCATACTCCCACTTTATTATTGGGTGCATACCATTTGCCTTCAATTTGGGGCACAGTTTCTCCTTTGCATACATAATTTTATTTGAGTATGGGGAGCACACTGTTGAATAAAAAAGTTACTGTCCTCAGAAAGCTCACATCTAGTGAGGAGACAGACATCTGAACAGAGAATTGCTTGCTTTCATTTCAAGTGATGAAAACCATAAAGAAATGGGTGCATAGCAGGCCTATGCCCACTGAGACAAGGCAACTTACTCAATTTGAGGAGTGGAGATATCCATCAGGACCTTGGTAGGGTCTTCAAGGACGCATGAGAGTCATAGAGATACAGAAGAACAGGAAGAAGATCCCAGGCCTAGAGAACAGAATAAACCAAGAGATATCTTAATAAATTCCCCAGAACAGGACCTTTGGTCAAATTGCACTAAAGATGCTCTTAATAAATGAATTATCCTTTACAAGAAATGTGTGTCCAGTTGTTTTTATGAGAAAAGCAAAAAATGGGAATAATTCACACAATTGGATCAAGACAATTAGAAACTGGGCTTAGGCTAATTTCCTTAAGTGGCTGAAGTCAGTGCCTTAGTTCATAAAACTGGACTTGTCATCTCTCCTTTACTTATGATTCTGAAATTAACTTTAAACTCCCTGAATAAGAAGATAATCAGTAATTTCATTTCTCAAACCTTAGGACCCTGACTTCTCTCAATTAACTTAATTACCACAAAGAAAAGCTCAAAGAAAAGCATCCAAAGTACTTTTAAAACCAAACAAACACCACCTTAATGATAAGTAAATAAAACAAGCTTCTAATGCTGGACGTACAAATTAATTTTTGATTGGCTTTAAAAGGGTTAAGCAAGTAGTATGTATACAATACAGTTAAACTCTAGCCTCGCAAGGTTCAATTCCCCTGGGAAAATGCCTACCCTTCCTATACGTCTTGAAAAAAGCCTTCCTCATTCTCCAAATTTAGATCAAGGAGTCCTTGATTGATTCCCAACATGGTTTTACTTTTACAGTAATTCTATTTTATAGCCAATTAACAGAAAACAAGATACCCTCCTATGTTTGAGTTGAGCTAAGTTTATAAGCTTTGAAGGCTGAGCCACTTGGGCATGGTTAGAACCAAGGAAAATTCACAGCCTCTTCTATGATACGCTCAATTATTACTGTGCAACTTGGTAGTTAGACATGCTTCCTTGTGGAGGACAAAAGGCAATATATGGCCACAAAAAACCTCAGATTACAAAGAAGAAGCTGGAGGTGGAGAGGGACAGGACATTGTGAATTTCCCTCTCTCCAGCCAGGAGCAAGAGGAGCCTCTAGGGGATGCTGGGAATCATAAGATTGTTTACTCAGCACCCCTTGCACACACACACACACACACACACACACACACACACGCACACATCTGCACACCCCACACTCTCCTGTCCCACAGGTCGGCCTTATATAGCCTACTATAAGGAGAACGATGTGTTTACCTATAATTTGCTTGCTTGGAATTCTAAACTCAGAATCCCTTTGGATGAACATAATATTTACCATTAAGGCACTCTTCTGTGTGCCTGGTATGCACCATGTAAGAAGTACAGCTGCCTTTGCTATGGTTTGGATGTAGGTCCCCTCCAAATCTCATGTTTAAATGTGATCCCCAGTGTTGGAGGATCGGTGCGGTGGATCCCTCATGAATGGCTTAGCGCCATCCTCTTGGTGATGAGTGAGTTCTTGCTCAGTTAGTTCACATGAGATCTGGTTGTTTAAAAATCTGGGACCTCCTCCTTGCTCTCTCTCACTCCAGTTCTCACCATGTGACATACCTGCTCTCCCTTTGCTTTCCACCATGACTGAAAGCTTCCCGAAGCCCTCGCCAGAAGCAGACTCAGGAGTCATGCTTGTACAGTCTGCAGAACCGTGAGCCAATTAAACCTCTTTTTTTAAATAAATTACCCAGTCTCAGGTATTTCTTTATAACAGCTCAAAAACATCCTAACACAGCCCTGTGTCTGCCATGGTGGACTGACTACATAAAGAAAGAGATGCCCAGGAAGCCCCATCTGTTCCAGCCCCTGGCTGTCTGGTTTTCCCCAACCCAGGCACCAGACATGAGAGTGAAGGAGCCTTTAAGATGGTTCCAGTCTCAACCACTGTCTGACTGAGAAACCCCAGGACAAACTGCCCAGCTGAGCCCAGTCAACCCCCATATTGAACAACATGCACTGGGGCCTGTTGTGGGGTGGAGTGGGGAGAGGGAGAGCATTAGGAAAAATGCTAATGCATGCTGGGCTCAATACCTAGGTGATGGGTTAATAGGTGCAGCAAACCACTATGGCACACGTTTACCTATATAACAAACCTGCACATCCTGCACCTGTACCCCAGAACTTAAAGTAAAAAATAAATTTTTAAAAAAGATTGTTATTCCTTAAGCCTTTCTTATGTGGTGGTTTAACAACCAGCTATAGAGACCAGAATAGTCTGAACAAGAAGAATATCTGACTGAGTCTTCTGTCATCACACCACTGTCCTGGTCATCTCAAAGATCTGAATTGTTTTCCAGTCACACTCCACTTCTCCACCTCTGGCCTTCACTGTCTATTCCTCCTTTAGCTGCACATTGAGCCAACCAGGAGAATCTTACCAGGGAGAGAAAGACTGTTCTCAAGTTGAAGATGAATGTAGTTGTACTCAGCCTGCCCAAATATATGAGTGCCTCTGTTTATCCAATATAGTATCACATGAGCAGTTTAGTCTGCATTTCACCTTGGATTCCAAGATTTACTCCCAGACATACGGCTGTTCTGAAATAGCCTCCAGTTATAGCCCTCCCAGCCTCATGCCCTTAGTGGAAACACATGCTTCCAAGCCTTTTCATCTGTTTCTTATAGCCTACTTGAACTATTGCCAGGTTTGAATTGACAATGCAATTTGGGAACACATTCTAAAACGATTATTTCACCCACAAATGCAGAATGTTTTGTCTTTTAAGAATATTACAAATTAAAAACTATTTAGCAAGCTCAAAGAAGTGAATTTCTCAGATTCAAGAAAGTGTTCAGGCCGGATGTGATGGCTCATGCCTGTAATCCCAGCACTTTGGGAGTCTGAGGCAGGTGGATCACCTGAGGTCAGGAGTTCGAGACCAGCCTGACTAACATGGTGAAACCCCATCTCTACTAAAAAATACAAAAAGTTAGCCCGGCGTGGTGGCAGGTTCCTGTAATCCCAGCTACCTGGGAGGTTAAGGCAGGAGAATTGCTTGAACCTGGGAGGTGGAGGTTGCAGTGAGCCAAGATCGTGCCATTACCCTCTGGCCTGGGCAACGAGAGTGAAACTCCATCTCAAAAATAAAAAAAGGGAGGAAGAAAGAAAGTGTTCTAATATACTATGAGAGTTTAAGGTTACATTGTATCCATAAAGAATTACTTTTGTTTCAAAGAAGAATTTCTGTTATAAACTAGAGGATTAAACACATAAGTAGATGCACACACACACACACACACGCACACATACACACACACACTTGTGGACAAAACTTAGCAAAAAATAAAACTTGCTTTCCTAGAAGGCAATCAGAAGCTGTGTCAAATTTCCCTTCAGTAGGCCACATAAACGAGTAAGAGACATATTTAACCAAATTGATAGATGGTAGGTTATCAGTGGAGCAATCAAGTCCTGATCAGTATATTTTCCCAGCAGGGCCAAGCCAATGTGACACAGCAGGAATCTTGCAACCTCAAGGGAGCATTGCAGAGGCACAAAGCTACCTGCTGTAAATGGCAGGCTGTTTTTCTGTATAGATCTCTATGAGGAGATGGGAGAGAATGCTATAAAAAGAAGCACTGCAGCTCAAGAGGAAAGTCTCATTTCTCTGCTTAGCTTTATTTTTATTTTCCAAAGCATTTTAAAATTAAATAAAAATTTTCCCCATTGGGGCGCAATCTCAACCTGCCAATGTCATGTTTGTAAAGGCAATCTGGCACATGGAGAAGAGCAGGCTTTGAAGACAGAAGGGCCTTGTTCAAATCCCAGCTTCTGCTACTCACTAGCTGTGTGAACTCATGCAAGTTACATGACCCCTCTTATGTTTGATTATTTTAGTAAAGTGGCGGTCATAATGTACATGATGGTATTAGAGGTTAAACAAGATAATACCTTAAGTTACCAGTTCTGTACCTAGAACATAGTAAGTATTCAATCACTAATTATATACATTAAAGATTAACATACTTAATTACTAATATACTTCTTATTAAATTGTATTATATTTTTTCATTTTAAAACATTACATTATTAGTAATATGTATTATTTAAAATAATTTTTTAAAACTCTCTGATCAGAATTAAGAGACCTGGTTCTGATACCTACATTGCTCTTTAAATAATATTTGATTTAGGCAACTTGATTTCCATTCAGTTATGAGCCTCAGTTTTTTCGTTGTTGTTATTTTAAAAAATGAAGGAACTAGGTTTTCTGATGTCTCTCCTGACAAACATTTCAAGCAATTTGTTTTCTTTGTCCAACAAGATGTTCTTGAACAAAACGTTAGTGTTTATGGCCAAGGCATCTGTTCTTGGGATTGGGATATGCTGGTACATGTTTAACAATTGGATCTCCGGGTAAAAAAGCCCTGATATGTGTTTGCCAATTATTATGGTGTGAATATTCCCACCATGGCAAATTTCTAGCTATCAATGAGATGTCACTAAAGGCAGAGTTAGAAAGGTATACACACAATTAGCTCTCATGGTGCTGACTCAAGCACATCATTGTGCCAAACTCACTCAGTAGATCACAGCACTCACTATTCAACTCACATTCAGTTCCTGAGCATTTCTTACATCATGTAGAAAAAGAGCTGTGGATATTAGGATACTTTCTATTTTCAGCTTCCTGTCAGGGAAGAGACATAAATAAGTCCCTGCTTACCACATAGAATGTACCACTGAATTCCCTGCCATTTTGGAAAAAGGAAACAAACGTTTCAGAGACCATGAAACACTGAGATGCAAACTTAATCTGCTTTTCTTACACTCCGTTCTATTTCTTCACTACTTTAAAATCTTCCCTAATCTCAGACTGTAAAAACAACTATGAATTTTAAAGATTCTAAATCAGAAAATAAGCCAAAGAAAACTTGGTCTCTTCTTCAATTCTTTAACACCTGTAAGGATGATATTTGTCAGCTCAAATCTTTCTCTCATCTAAAAAGTCAATCATAAATTAATAGTGAATGGATTCTGAATACAGTGTTCCCACAGATGCTGCATCTTAGAGTGTCCCAGGATGCATAGCAGGACCACAAATGAGAACCCAATACAACATGTTTTAGCACTTGATACATCACGTGTTGATTGCCAAAACACTAAAGCCCAGTAATCCACTCTAGGAGAGGCCCTCAGGACATAACTTGGCAGCTTATTTTCTCACAAACCTGACATCTTTGATCATCAAACTTCTCAGACCTCAGAAATTTGAAATTGAAGAAACTTGCAAGAAGTCAGTATACTATTAAGAGCTGTGACAGTGTATAACTGACAGCCCAGCAGATGCCTTGTTAGTCTGTTTTTATATTGCTATAAAGAACTGCCCAAGACTGGGTAATTTATAAAGAAAAGAAATTTAATTGATGCACAGTTCCACATGGTTGGGGGGACCTCAGGAAACTTACAATCATGGTGGAAGGCAAAGAGGAAGCAAGGCACCTTCTTCGCAAGGCAGCAGGAAGGAGAAGTGCCAAGTGAAGGGGGAAGAGCCCCTTATAAAACTATCAGATCTTGTGAGAACTCACTCACTATCATGAGAACAGCATGGGGGAAACCACCCCCATGATTATTCAGTTACCTCCACCTGGTCTCTCCCTTGACATGTGGAGATTATGGGGATTACAATTGAAGATGAGATTTGGGTGGGAACACAAAGCCCCACCATATCACCTTGTACAGTGGGTTCCAATATTCACCTAAAGATTTAGAAAGAAAAATCCTACTGATTTGCACCCCAGCAAAGTATTTAAGGTTTCTAAATTATCACCCTGAATCATCATAAAAAAACATCATTTTGTTCTTATTATCTTCTATGTGGTGTGTAAGGATAATATATGATATCTTTCAGAAACATTCCCATCAAAAAGTATTTAAAAGTGCAATCTTCAACACCTAGAAAATGTACCTAAATGAAATAATTTATTTCTTGGAAATGTGATATGGCTGCCGTTCTATATTTTAAGACATTCACATGTAGAATGCCTATCAAGTATAAAACATTGAGGGGATAAGGATTCATAAAACAATATAGGAGATATTGTTTTTCTGCCCAGATCCCTATACTCAGTCCATATATCCATCCTTTAAATGCTGTGAGTGCTGGCTGTTATCATTGTATTACTGGGAGATGTGTCACTAAGGGGGTCATCTCCTGCAAGGGGCAGCTTGTTTCACTAACTTAGTGACAAGTGTGTACAAAAGCTCTTATATCCCCACCCTTGCCTAAAGGTGGAACAAACTTTGTAGTGCAATTTGTGCTTCAGAGCTCCCATACAAAATCCGGCTGAGATGGTTTCCAGGTGAGATCATATCCTGGCTTGACTCTTTTCTGTTTTGCTTCCCTTAATCTCCTCCTCCTGAGAACACTTCCTGAATAAGGCATTTGCAAAAGAATCCACATCTCAGGGTCTATTTCTAAAGTACCCAATCTAAGACAGACTTAGACCCTTCTCTCAAAAATATAAGCTGTATATAAGAGTTGCACAGAAAAATAATTCTGGAGACCTGCAGTGTTCCTCTTGAGTATTCAGCTGAGTATGGGCCAGTACAAGCACATGAGGGAAGGAACACCAGAGAAGTTTAAAAGGAGAAATCCCTGGAGATCGCACAGGGATAAGAATAGCATCCATTCCTAGCAGGCTGAGTGGAAAACTTACAATTCACAGGGCATTGTATAGAATACTAAAAAGAGTTTTGCCTCAGTCATGAGGAAAAATATCATCAGACTACATAGTGCGCTGGTCTCACATAACAACACTTAAAATCAAGACTCAAAAGTATCAAGATATTTCTAAGTAACTTAACTGTACCCCAGAACAAAGCTTTAGAATATTTATAGAAATTCAAAATTATACAACATCCTACAAGATAAAGTTCACAATATCTGGCATCTAGTAAAAAATTACCAGGCATTCAAAGAAGCAGAAAAATGGCCCAAAATGAAAAAAAAAAAATCCAAGTAATGGAAATTCGCATAGAGCTGACACAAATGCAGAAATCTTAAAAAATTATAACTATTTCATTTGTTCAAAATATAGAGGAAAGATTGAAACTGATAAATAGAGACATGGAAGATTTGAGAAAGACCCAGCAGGTTAGATACTGCAAAAGAAAATGTTAGTAAACTTAAGCAAATTAGCAATAGGAACTATCCAAAATAAAATAAACATAAAATGGGGAAGAGCACAGCATCAGTGGTCTATGAAACAATTTCAGGTGGACAAATACATATGCAGTTATCATCTCTGAAGGAGAAGGGGGATGGAGAGGACAGAAAACATATTTAAAGAAATAGTCGACAAAATTTTCATATTTAATGAAAAACTACAAGCCCACAGATTCAAGAAGCTGAACAAACCTCAAGTGTAAGAAACATGAAGAAAAGCACAGAAAGACACTCTATAACCAAAATGTTTAAAACAAGTAATAAAGAGGAAATATTAAAAGCAGCCAGAAGAAAAAAATACATATCAAGCACAGAAAAACAAAGATAAGGATTACAGCAGATTCTTCATTGAAGCAATGTAAGCTAGAGGACCATGGGGTAATATCTCTAAAGTACTGGAAGAAAAAATGATCAACCTAGAATTCTGCACACAGAAAGAATATCTTTCAAAATGATGGCAAAATAAAGACTTTTGAAGACTTCCAAAAATAAAAGAATTCATCAGAAGGAGACAAAAAAATTACAAAAAAATCACAGAAAATAAAAGATTAAAATATTGACATTCACAAAAAAGAACACTAGAAATGATAACTATATGAATAAATTTAAAGAAATTTTCTCATTATGTAAGTCTCCTTAAAAGATATCAACCACTGGCTAGGCACGGTGGCTCACGTCTGTAATCCCAGCACTTTGGGAGGCCAAGGCGGGCAGATCACCTGAGGTCAGGAGTTCGAGACCAGCCTGACCAACATGGAGAAATCCTGTCTCTACTAAAAGTACAAAATTAGCCGGGCATGGTGGTGCATGCCTGTAATCTCAGTTGCTCAGGAGGCTGAGGCAGGAGAAACACTTGAACGCAGGAGGGAGAGTTTGCGGTGAGCCGAGATCGCGCCATTGCACTCCAGCCTGGGCAACAAGAGTGAAACCCCATCTCAAAAAAAAAAAAAAAAAAAAAAAGATATCAGCCACTTAAAGCAAAAATAACAATGTATTGTGAAGTTTATAACAGGTGAAGTAGAATGTGTGGCAACAGTAACACAAGGACCAGGAGGTGAGAAATGATAGTGTTGTAAGGTCCTTATACTATATAGGAAGTAGTGTAATATTACTTGAAGGTAGACCATGGTAAGTTAAAGATATGTACTATAAATTTTAAAGCCACCACTATAATAACACACACATACAAGTTATAGGTAAAACTCATATAGGAGATAAAATGGAATCATAAAAATTACTCAATCTAAAAGGTGAGAGCAAAAGAGGAAAAAGGAGCAAAGGAAAAATAGAAAATAAATAATAAAAGGTTAGATATAATCCCAACCATATCTATAATAACGTGTGGTGAACAGACTCTAAGATGGCCCCCAATTATTCCTGTCTCCTTCTTTTCATGCCCTTGTGTATATTCATGCTCTCCTCTTGAGTGTAGGTGGAACTTGTGACTTGATTCTGATATAATATGGTTAAGGTAATGAGCTGTCACCTCCATGATTGTTATATAAGATTATACCTTCCATCTTTTGAGTAGACTTTGTCATTGTCTCTCTTACTGGCTTTGATGGAGTAAGCTGCCATATGAAGAAGTTCACATGGCAAGAAACTAAGAGTGACCCTCATTGTGACAGCATGCAAGGAATTGAATCCTGCCGACAGCCACATTAGCTTAGAAAGTGATTCTCCTTCAGTTGAGCCTCAGATGAGACCCCAGTCCTACCTAACTCTTTGATTTCAACCTTGTGAAATATCTTAAAGCAGAGGACCCAGCTAAACTGTGCCTGAATTCCAGACCCACGGAAACAGTGCGATAAATGAGTGTTGTTTTAAGCTGTTACATTTGTGGTAATACTCTTTTGCAGCAATAGATAATTAATTTAATATTAAATGTAAATAGTTTAAGCACCCAATTAAAATGGAGATTGCCAGACTGGATTTAAAAACACCAAGACCCAATTATATGCTACTTTTAAGAAACCTACTTTAAATATAAGGATACAAATAGGTTAAAAATAAAAATATAAGAAAAGTTATACCATGCTAATTCCAATCTTTAAAAAAGCAGGAGTTGCTATAATGATATAAGACAAAGTAGATTTCATTGGAGATAATACGAATAAGAGTAAAGAGGGTCTTTTCATAAAGAGTCCAATTCGGCAAGAGGATATGGCAATCCTAAAGTTGTATGCACCTAATAACAGGATTATTACATCAATTAAAAACTGACAGAAGTATAAGAAGAAATAGAAAAATCCATCATTATACTAAGAGATTTCCCCATATTTTTCTCAATAATTGAGAGAACAAATTAACAGAAAATCAACAAGGATATAGAAGACCTGAACAACACTTTAAACAAATTGACATAATTAGCATTTATGCAACACAAAAAAATACAAAATACACATCCTTTTCAAGTACACAGAGAACATTTACCAAAATAGAGCATTTTCTGGCCCATAAAAATCTTTTGTCTCATTTCCCCTGTGGTATTCTTAAACTAAAAGTGCTAAAATCTCAATCTCTACCCTTAACCTCACTGATATTGTCAATGGGATTTCACAAGGAGGAAGGATAAGCAGGGAAACGCTCTAATACAAAGTGTGCCAAATGTTTGCTTTGGGAAGGAAGATTTCAATGAAGCAGAAGACACAGGAGAGGGGAGATTCTAGTTCACCTTCTCTAGAGCTCCAAGAGACAGCTAAGTTATAGGCTTTAAACATGGCATGTTCTAAATGGCACTCATGGGGCTGGATTAATAGATGCTGATACAATTTGGATGTTTGTCCCCTCCAAATCTCATGTTGAAATATAATCCCCAATGTTGGAGGTGGGCCTGGTGAGAGGTGCTTGGATCATGGGAGCAGATTCCTCATGAATGGCTTGGTGCTATCCTCATGATAATGAGTGAGTTCTTGCTCTATGAGTTCATGCAAGATCTGGTTGTTTAAAGGAGGCTGGAACTTCCTCTTTCTCCTCTCTCTTACTTTCCCTCTCACCATATGACGTGCTTTCTCCCCCTTTGCCTTCTGCCGTGATTAGAAGCTTCCTGAGCCCCCCATCAGGAGCAGATGCTGGTACCATGCTTCCAGTACAACCTGCAGAACCATGAGCCAAAATAAATATATTTTCTTTATAAATTACCCAGCCTCAGGTATTTCTTTATAGCAATGCAAACAGACTAACACAGATGCTCAACACATTGTCTTTTGTTATCAAAAAGGTTGAGGTCCAGTTATTTTTGGCTCAAAGACATTAAGTATATTATTAAAGTTTGTTTATATAAGATGGGATTTAGACAATCGGTAATACTACAGGGTAGTAAAAATGCCAAGAAATTCAATATTTTACTAGGGAAGAGATTTCTATCAATACTTCTCATGGTGACAATACTGTGCCTGGAGGAGGGGGAGGCAACTCAGTCTGCAAGAAAATTTAAGATAATATATAATGTTACTTACTCACTCCATGTGAAATCAATCAATAGTTTAATTCAACACAGCTACAATGTTGAATCAATGATTCGCTGTAAAACCAAAGCTATTAATGGGGAGATAACTCCCATAGAGTTGCATTGATAAGCAAACAAGAAACTTCATAAGAAGTAAAAAGACTGCTTCTGTGTTGGGTTGTCATTGAAAATCCTCACGTATGTGCAGAGCATAATTGATTGGGTAGAAGTTACTGGAACAGGTTATGAAGATCTTTAAAAGCTTCAGGTTATTCAAATTCACTTTAGCACTCAGTACCATTGGGGAATTTTGTAAAGAAAAGAGAACCATCTGGGTAACTATAGCAAGGAATATTTTTTGCAGAGAAATCTTTTGCAAATTGTTATAACTGTTCTGGAGGTCAATGTCTATATAAATGTAAAATGTGTGTACTTTTAGCCCCAAAATACTCAGTGCTCAGATATGTCCACAAAACTGACCCTCATATATGCGCACAAAAGATATGTTTTATTTAGAACCTTTTTTTCTAGCAAATAACAGAAAATCAATGCCATCCAGCTTAAACAATAAAGGGGGTTTGCTGGTTTACAGACTTGGAAAATTCAGGCATAAGATGGTTTATAATTTGAGCTTTTTTTAGGAGGTGAAAAAAATTGACAAAACAGTAGAAAAGTGATACAGGAATGAGATGACAGCCAATATAGGGTGTATCATCAAGCTAATTTCCACTGTGGACAACTAGAATTTAATTTCAATAGAAAAACCCTGAGAAACAGTGTAAAACGTATTGCCTCAGAGGTCATCCATCCTAGGGCCACAGGGTTGAAAGATTATCTTAAGGAGCTTTAATTCCACTGTGCTAGACAGAGGACTCCAGTAGTAAGAGAAACCCCTCAGACAACAAATTCAGTACTGACAATTAGAATTTGGGCCAGTGGACACTGAAGTGGTAAAAACAAGTGGATATGGGTAGGGGACCAATAACATCTGCCTCAGATAGATTTTGGATTGGGTGACCCATCAGCTCAACAATGCCATTGAAGATTCTCTCCTCTCCATTCTGATTTCTAGGATTAATTTTATCCAAACAATCGTTTCCATGGTGGTCATTAAGTGAGTACCAGTCCCAACTGGGGCTACATATATTGTAGAATATAGAAAGCACTTCAGTGTCAATGTTCCAAGCAAAAATGCTTATATTTAGTATAATTGGACTGGATTGAGTTAGAGGCTTATCTCTGAACTAATGACTTTGCTACATGGATTAAATCAATTGGTATCTACCCCCAGAGATAAAGACGGGTTGTCTTCCTCAAAGGCACATAGAAAATCTGGGTACTGTTGAGAAGGGAGAAGCTGGGAGGATGCTGGGTAGTTCAATCACAAATGTATAGTGATATATGTGTAAAGATGTTAATTACAACCTTCTTTGCAATAGTGAAAACCTAGAGACATCCAAAGCATGCATCGATAGGAGACTTATAGTTAAACAAATTATTGTATATTCTTACCGTGGTTGCTAAGCAGTAGTAGATCTTTATTTTCTGATATAGATGGGTTTCCAAGATATATCATTAAATGAAAAAGCATATGCAAATCAATGTGTAAAGTAAATCACTTTTGTAAATTAAAAGGCAAGCCCACACAACTACTGAGCTGTGGGATGATAAATGTTTGTTGTCTTAGTGGATATGAGTAGGGCACCAACCATATCTACCTCAGAGTTTTGGGGTAACTGTTATAATGTGATGCAGAAATAGATAGTCAATACAATGGCCTAACAGGAAAACACAGCTATAAAGAAAAGTACAATATGATTCTCTTTTTAAGTATTCATGGACATTTTCCAAATAAATTTAGAAAGAAACAGGACTTTTGATTTAGAAGTTTACAATAAAATTGTTTTAAAGCTTCCACATGTTCCAGGTTACAAAGCACTTAGAAGAAGCTGCAATTTTCCATCCATCCCAATGAAGCTTCTGTATCCCAAAGAAGACCCTGTGAGGGAAAATGAAGCAACTTACTAGGTACAGGCTGGTCACACATGTGGGAACATTTCACAGACATCTCTAACTTTAGGCTCTATCTTCATCAGTTCACATTTAAAGAAAAGCTAAGGAAGATTACAGTTATTAAAATCTGTATCATAAATAGCCCATCCCCTCCATGAAATCTATGTTTACCAAAATAATTTAAGAAGATTAAAGCTGCAGAACAAAATGAGTTAAAATTGTAGCTGCAATCTTCAAACTGGGGCTATACCTTTAAAGGCTTTCAAAGTTGCATACGGCCATAAATAGTTTTGAGGAATCAATTTCAACTCAACTTCCACATATATGCAATCTCCTAAAATTGAGCTACTTGAGATGTGCATTGTCTTAGTACATTCATGCTGCTATAACAAAATACCTTAGACCAGGTAATTTATAAAGAACAGAAATTTATTTCTTACAGTTTGGGAGGCTGGGAAATCCAAGATCAAGGCATCTGCAGATTCAGTGCCTGGTGTGGGCCTGTTTGTTATACAGTGCCTTCTTGCCATGTTCTCACATGGCAGAAGAGATGGAAGGCAAAAGGCACTACAGTGTTCCCTTTAACCTCTTTTATAAGAGCACTAGTCCATTTATAAGGGCAGAGCCCTCATGACTTAATCACTTCCCCAAAGGCCCCACCTCTTAATATCACCACCCTGGGGTTTACGTTCCAACATATGAATTTTATAAAGACACCTGTATTCAAATTTTATAGCACACATTATATCTGGTTTTCTTTCCGATGTCTCCTTTCACAAGTATTCTTTTCCATATTTCAAAGGAAGTCATATTTCTCTGGATTCTCAAATCTTACTGTGCCTTGCCCCAGAGTATAAAAACTTCAAGGGTGCCAAACAAACAAACAAAAAAAATAGTTTTAAACTATCAGTGTTTCCAAAGCTCATTTATTCAAATGACCATAAACTCACAGTAGGACTTCTCTCTTTCCTGTCTTATGTGTATTTGTATTAAATGAGAAGCACAGAACTTTTGTTGGGGTGTACTATAATGAAAAGTATTCTAGCATGGGAAGGGATTATTGGGATTGATAACTAACAATTTTCACTCAGCAATTCCATCTCTTAGTTCTGTCAACTGTTGTAAAATAACATATTGCTCCTGAGAATAAGTCCCTTGAGACTGTTGTTGAACAAGGTTGTTGAACGATGTTGAATCACTATCTTATGATTCCATGTATTTACAAAAGATCCAAACTCAAAAAAAAACTCCTCATTTTTTAAATGAGGAAAGCTAAGGATATTAGTGAAAAGACACTTTCATCAAAGTTGTCTTTGGAAAACTTACACATATTAGTTTTCCTCTGTTGAAAATACTGTATGATTCCAGGTGCATAGTTCATTCTTTTCACAATATTTATTGAGTAGCTTCTATTTTCCAGGTACTGTTTTAGATTCTCAGATGCAATGGTGACTAAAATTAACAAACGTTCATACTGTCATAGAACTTACAGAGACAATAGATAAACAAAATGAGTAAACGGTATATAGTATATTACAGAGTCATATGTGTGTAGAGAACAAGATAAGAGGGAAGAAGGACAAGGAATGCAACGGAACATTGGGAATTTTAAATAAGGTGTTCAGGGATGGTTCCATTTAGAAGATAACATTTATGCAAAATTAGAAGGAGATGAGGGAGCAAGATTTGTAGATATTTGGGGAGAAAGTATATTAAGCAGAAGGGAAAGCCCATGCAAAGGCCCTGGGGCAAAGTATGCTTGGCCAGCTCAAGGAATGGCAAAAAGGCCAGTGTGGAGAAAAGTAAATGAGAGGAAAAGTGGAAGAACGAGAGGTGAGAGGTATAGTGCACTTCTAGACCATGTGGAACCTTATAGGCTACTGCAAGGATTTTAACTTTTACTCTGGGTGAGGATTTTTTGTAGTGACACAATTTGACTTATGTTAAAAGGCACACCAGCTACTGTATTTTGAGAATATACTACAAGAAGCCAGAGCAGAGACAAAAAGTCCAGTAAGGCAGTTACTGCAATAATGAGAAAAGAGAAAGAGACCATGGATGTTTGGTGCAAGATGATAGCCAAGGAGGTGATAAGAAAAGGTGAGATTCATGACATATTCTGAAGGTCAAGCCCATAGGATATGCTGATGTATTGGATGCATGGTGTGAGAGAGAATAGCCATATATCTTAGAAAAAATTAAATTCATGGTTAAAAACTTTTCCAGAAAGGAAACTCCAGACTTAGATAATTTCACTAGTAAACTCAATCAGATGTTTATGGAAAAAAATCACATGAATCTTATCAAACCCCCCATCTTCAGAAAATAAAGAATGAGAGACCACCACCCAATTTATTTTGTGTGGCCAGTATCACCTTAATTTTAAAACCTGATAAAGGCAGTCCAAGGAAGAATTTCACAGACTAACATCCTTCATGAATATAGATGCAAAAAAATTAACAAAATATAGCAAATTGAATTCAATAATATATAAAAAGGATAATACATGATGACCAAATAGAGTTTATCTTAGGAATGCAAGGTCGTTTAACATTTAAAGATCAATGAACGTAACCCACCATATAATCAGAATAAGGGAGAAAAACTATATGATAATTAGAATAAATGTAGAAAAAAATTCAACACTACTCATCATACAAACTGTTAGCAAACTAAGAAGAAAAGGGAACTTTTTGAATGTGATAAAAAAAATGTTTAAACCTACAGCTAACTTCATATTCAATGGTGAAAGTCTAAATGTTATCTCCTAGGACTATTAAAAGGCAAGGTTACCCCCTGTCATCATTTCTATTCATTATTGTGCAGGAGGTCCTAACCAGTTCAGTACAGCAAAATGAAGAATAAAAAGAAATAAAAGGCAAAAGGAATGAAAAAGAAAAAGTAAAATTATCTATATTTGCTGATGATATGGTTATTTACACGCAAAGGTCAAAAGAATCTACAAAACAAATGCTAGAAGTAATATGCGAATTTACTAAAGTTGCAGGATACAAAGTTAATATAAAAAAACAATTAGGATCACAAACAACTAGAAAATGAAATTTAAAAACTGATTCCATTTATAGCATCAAAAATCATGAAATAATTCAAACATGTAACATAATGTAATATATAATATGTATATAACATAACATATATACCTATAATATAATGTATAACATAATAAACATAACGAAATATTTCTAAGACCTCTACACTAAAAAGACAAAGCATTGCTAAGAGAAATTAAAGATCTAAATAAATGTAGAAATATACCATTTCATAGATTGAAAGACTCAATATTATTAAGATGGCAGTGCTCTCAGAAACTGATCTGTAGAAACAATGCAATTCCAATAAAAAACTCTCAGCAATTTTTGTAGAAATTGATCTATTAAGTCTAAAATTACATGGAAAATCAAGGGACATAGAATGGCCAAAACGATTTTCAAAAAAAGGAACAAAGTTAAGAACTTATACTACCTGGCTTTATGACTTAGTATAAAACACTACAGTTATCAAGACAGTGTGGTACTGGCTTAATAATTGAATCAATAGAACAGAATAAAGCCCAAAAAATGACCCCCAATTATAGTGTCTTAGTCCATTATATGTTGCTATAACAGAATGCCACAGACTGACTGATTTATAAACAACAGAAATTCATTTGGCTCATGATTCTGGAGACTGGCAAATCCAAGGTCAAGAGACCTGCATCTGGCAAGCGCCTTCAAGCTGCATCATCCCATAGCAGAAGGCAGCAGGGCAAGAGAGCACGTAAGGGAGAGGGAAGGGAGAGGGAAGGGAGAGGGAAGGGAGAGGGAAGGGAGAGGGACAAACTCATCTTTTTATCAGGAACTCACTTGCATGATAACTAACCCGCTCCCACAATAACATCATTAATCCATTCATGAGGGCATAGCCCTCATGACCTAATCACCTCTTAAAGGTCCCACCTTCCAACACTATTGCATTGGGGATTAAGTTTCCAATACATAAACTTTGGGGAACACATTCAAACCTTAGCATATAGTCATCTGATTTTTTTATAATGATGCCAAAGAATTCCAATAGGAAAAAAATAGTCTTTTCAATAAATGATAATGGAATAACTGGATATCCATATGGAAGGGGAAATTAAGAAGAACACCAGTCCCTACCACAGACCTTAAACAAAAACTAATTTGAGATAGATCCTAGATCTAAATGTAAAAGAAAGGCTAAAGCTTCAGAAAATATATATCTGACAAAGGACTGATCTCTAGAATATATAAAGAACATCTAAAATTTAATAATAAATATATATATATATATACACAAAGGTAAATATTTGCTTAGACACTTCACAGAAGAACACATACTAATGACCAAAAAGCATATGAAAAGTACTTGACATCATTAGTCATCAAGGAAATGGAAATTTAAAAACAATGAAATAATACATATCCACTGATATGGCTAAAATTAAAAAGACTGACAACACCAAATGTTGACAACAATTTGGGACAATCAGGATTCTCATATATTGTTGATGTGGCTGCAAAACTGTATAAGTCCTTTATCAAAAGATCTGGCAGTTTCTTATAAAACTAAATGTACACACACACTATGATCCAGCAATTCCTTCCAGGTATTGCTCAAGAGAAATGAAAATATATATCTACATAAAGACTTGTACACACATGTTCACAGCAGCTTTATTTTTAGTAGTTAAAACTTGAAATAGCCCAGGTGTCCATCAATAAAATAATGGACAAGTGAACTGTTTATTCATATAATGGAATACAGCTCATCAATAGAAGAATTGAGCTACTAATATACAGTACAACATCCATGAATTTCAAAAACATACTGAGTGAAAGAAGTCTCACATAAGAGTACATATTGTGTGATTGCATTCATATAAAGTTCTAGAATGAGCAAATCTCATCTATAGTGAAAAGTAATCAGAACACTGATTTCCTGTTGAAGGGAAGAGTGAGATGTGGGGACAGGGTTTGCCTGGGAAGGAACATGAATGAACTTTCTGGAGTGATGGCAATGTTCTGTATCTTGATGGGGATTTGTATTTGTCAAAACTCAGTGGATGTGTACTTAAGATCTGTGCATTTCATTGTATGTTAATTTTACATCAAAAGAAAAATCTTAGACAAATACTGAACTCTAATTGGTAATATGCATGCCAAAGTGTACAGAGGAAGTGTACAGATGTCTTCAATTTACTTTGAAATGCATTAAAAAATGAAATGGGCCAGGTGCAGTGGCTCATGATTGTAATCCCAGCATTTTGGGAGGCTGAGGCAGGAGGCTCGCTTGAGGCCAAGAGTTTGAGGCCAGCCTGTGCAACACAGTGAGACCCCGTCTGTTATCTTTAAAAAATAATAATAATAAAATGGGTTGATATAGGTGATAAAATAAGTATATTAAAGTACAAATGGTAGAATCTAGGTAGTGGTATACAAATATTCACAATAAAATTCAACTTTGCTGATGTTTGAACATTTTCATAATAAAGTAATTTTAAAAATTAAAAGTACATACATAGCATTATTGACATCCCTTCAAGACAACTAAAAGACTTTTTTTCCAAGTACGATACAATATTTGTATATTGATCTGAAGCTCAACATAAAATAATTAGGCAAGTCTGATTCATCAGGCACTCATTAATTCATTCAAACATTTAACAGTTATTTATTGAACATCTATTACCTGCCAGGCACTTGAAAGAAAGCAAAAATGCAGATGAGTCCACTCAATAAATAATTATCTATTTTCACCCATAGTAACTGACTTGGAAAGGAATGCTATGGGGCACCAACATATGATGAGAAAGTCTTTCATTCACAGTTATTTTTAATGTTTTTAATGCCATATTTTGCTCATTAAATAAGCTACTTTCAACATGGAAAGTCAATAATTTTAAATTAGAAATAATTACACAAATGCTGATGTCAACTTTAAATTGTTTCTTGAATATATTTTCAGCCTTGGAATCAGAGAAATTTAGACTTCAGAAAAGAGAGGGCCTCACAAACACACATGTGATTTTTAAAACGGTATTATGCTGACAGATCAAGAGAGCTCTAAATGTCATTTCCTCACAAGAAGCTATTATGAACCGTGCTTGAACAGGGCTGGAGGACCTAGCAACAGAAGGGAGAAAAGGTTTCCAAGCTGAAAAAGCTGCTTGTTTCAGAGCTAAATCTTAAATTGCCACGCCTCAAGGTCTTGACCAGGAAAATGATAGCCATCCAGTGCCTCAACCTAATAACAGGTCTTGTTTCCTTGAATGACATTGGGTTTATTAGATAGACATTTTTAAACATAGGATTTTTCCGTGTAATTCAAGTTACATCTTGAGGTGGAGCACAAACGCTGTATTTCTGTATATAAATATATTCTGGTCTATGAATCTATCGCTTCTCTCAGACACAAAAGCAAGGTTTTAAGATGGGAATCAGAAATAATCCCAGTTACATACTGTTCTAATTCACATTACACCACTAAATGTGACTCTGAGTAATTTAAATGTTAGAATGCATGGTTGAACAGCGAGACAGAGGCTGAGAATTTGCCAACCAGAAAATTCGAAACCGTGCCTGATGCTCACTCTCAAGCAGCACTGGATGCCTTGAAATGCACTTGGGCTTCATGACTCACTTCCCTTTCTTTTTCCCTGGGGATTATCCTACTTCCTGTTTTGTCCAAACTAGCCATCAAAGCTTCTATTATTTGAAAGCCTTGCTAAAACATCTTCTTTTCCTTCAAGGTCCTGGAATTTTACCATCATCTTCCCTTTAATCCCTCCTCTCTTTCCCAAGTATAAGGGTAGCTTTGAAGAGGGAAAAAGTCACAAAAAGGGCTATTTTGTAGATATAAATGGAACTGGGGAGAAACACTTGTCAGCATTTGCTTCAGAGGAGAGGAAGGCGTGGGGGGAGTAACATTTGTGAATTCTCTAAATTTGAACTTTGACTATTTTTGTCTCATAGGGACTGAAGCCACCTCCTTCTCTCCCTGATGCTTCTACAAAACACTACTCACTATCTACAGTAAGAGCCCTGAAATCAGCTTCTCTCTCACTCAGTTAAAAAGTTCACTATATAGAGAGTTCTGTGCCCCAATCACCACCGCCCCCAATGCAACACAGAGGAGAGAGAGAGAGAGAGAGAGAGAGAGATGTTTTTCCTATATTTGTCCCAAGGGCCTTACCACATCACTGGTTTAGCATGTGAGTAGAAACCATAAACTAAGGAGATGTTATTCCATGAGACAGAAGCAAAAATCAGGCTCAGAACTTACAAGCTCCACTTATCTTAATGTGGTTCTTAAATCTCTATCTGGCATGGTAGCTCACAAAATCTTGAGGCTGTGTCTCAAGTCATAGTACAACAGGACACAGGACAAATACCCTTTATCCCTACCAATTCCCACCCTACAATTCACATTCTAAAACTGACCCAGGCAACTGGTCCTTATTTTATCCACTGCTCTCATTTCTCCAGATGGCTCTCTTGAAATTCCCTTAACAGGGAGAAAGTGTTTCTCCTATTCAGTATTGCCTCAAAGCATTTGTGGACTAAATTCACTAACTTTCTCTTCAATCTTAATTCAGCTATTAAGCCAATCCAAACCTCTTTATATTATTGCTGGTCTTCGCTTACTCCACTGTTTCCTCCCAAACCATTCTTAGTGTCTTTCCAATGTTTACATATTATCTGATTTCTATTCTTTTTGTAGCACCTCAAAAGCCATAGTCAGAACTCACTTTGGAAATACATAGGTTTTTCTCAGCCACTGCTCAATGAAAAAAAAAAAAAGATTAAATTCTTCCTTCACTATTGGTTGAAAATTCAAGAGACAACATATGTTTTTACAAACAATACTTTCATCTCAATTGCTGCTTTAATAAGAATTCCTTTGGGGCTCGAGTGACCAAAACCCAGTTCAAATTTACTTAAACCCAAGAAGCAGTTTTTTGGCTTTTTTCATTGAAAAATCCAACAGTCATCTAGCAGAAACCCAGAAATGAATCTCTTTCCATTTCCTGGCTCTCTCTTCTTCTATGCTGGTTTTATTCTGTCTAGTAGCTCCCTCTCTCCTGCCCCAACAAATCATGACAAAAATGATCACCAACAGCTATGGAATCAAATCTTACCTGCTTAGCCCTACCGTGTGAAAAAGACATATTTCCAATAGCCCAGGAAAAGGCTCAAATAAAGTAATAGAGATCAGCAGGCAAGGGGTACCTGTGGTCCCCATGCCCTGGACAATAGTCTAACCCTCTGAATTTCCTCACTGGGCACCAGCAGAACAGCTGATCTTTAAGTCAGACCAGGGAGAGCACTGCAGCTAGAAGGGTAGCCATTTTAAAGACATCAGCTCTAATTTCCTGTGGATCCCAGTTTATCCCACCAGCCTGCTTTTAGGAAGGCACAAGAAGATCCTGCTGTTCCAGCAATGGGCAGATTCCAATTGAGGACTCTAGGGATGAACCCTCACACTGGTGAAACCGAAGGGACATTCGGTGCAAACAACTGTGACCTTCTGAAAACAATGCCCTCTCCTTTGTTCTCTAACCCAGAGGAGTGGGTAGCCATGAAGAATTCAAACAAAGTAAAAATGGCTGTGTGCAGGCCCCAGGGAACTTGCAGTTCTCCTAGGTTACACCATGCAAGCAGTCAGAGAGACAAGGGACCCACACAAGATCATCTGGAGTGAGGTTTGGTGATGGCAGAAACTATTTATTTAATTCAAATCTCTCTAAGTATATTAAATAGACCCTAGCAACTTTTATGGTTTAAGTTCTAAAGTCCTAAATCGATTTTTTTGTGATTTTCATTTAAACCTAGGATGTTGGTTTTAAAATAATTATCGCTGAAGTTTTATTAAAATAATGCAGCTGTAAGTAAGGAGCATTACTTTCAAGACCTCTATTTGAAATGAAATGAACACTTTCTAGATTTTAATGCATCATAACCCACCAATTTCATAAAATTGCATCCACTTTTCAAAGCTTATATTGCCCCATGGAAGCAGTGCTTCGAAAAAGGATGAAGTATTTGATTCTCTAATGTCTCCATTTAGCCAATTATAGGAGGGTTTTCATATATCACCCCCTTAAAAATATTATAAAAGCACTTTCTAGCATGGTTCTAGTGTGGATGGGAAATGTTAAAGACATTAATTTCATTGAACTGCAGGAAAATTTGAGATTAGAAGATAATAAGATAAAAAAAAGAAACATTTTCCTACTGCTTAACATGGGCTCAATCGTGTTGGAACAGCTAAAATTCTGACAAAAAAGGATAACTTCTGTTTTTAAGACAAGCTACCTATAAAGTGAAGGTAATTATTGTAGAGGTGGAAGACAGTATTCACTTCAAATAAGATACAGATACTAACCAAGTTTTATATATATTGAGATATTTGTATCAGAGAGACCATTAAAAACTCAATATTTCTAAAGAGTGAGAGTAGACAAACGTCTAAATTTCACCTATTTTCATTTTGAAGAGCTTCATACTTAATAAATCCAGAAAAGGTAGAGATTGATGAAAAGGTAAAATGTTGATGTCAACAAGAATTGTTAGTATGTAAGATGGAGAAGATGAAAATAAAGATAAGATTCTAAATTCTTTTATTTCCCAAAAATATTTCCTCTATCCTTCCTAAACACTGGTTTCATGTCTGTATCTAACAATGTGATAGCCAGTCTCTGAAATGATGCCCCAATAATCTCTGTCTCCTGGATCATGCCCTTTTTTACTCCCCTCGAACACTGAATAGGGCTGATGTGTCAGTCAACAAGATACTGCAGAAATGATGGAGTATGACATTGAAAGCTTGAGTCATAAAGACACGTGGCTTCTGTCTTCTCTCTCTTGGATCACTCACTCTGGGGAAATCCAGCTGTCATGACACTCAAGCCACAATTTGAGAAGCCCATGTGGCAAGGAACTGAGGCCTCTTGCCAACAGCCACATGAGTGAACCATCTTGTAAGTGAATCTTCTAGCCACAGTCAAACCCTCAGATGACTGTGGCCCCAACTGACATCTTGACTGAAATCTTATGAGAGACCCTGAGCCAGAACTACACAGATAAGATGCTCCTAAATTCTCAATCCACAGAAATTATGAGATAATAAATGTTTGTTGTTTTAAGTCACTAAGTTTTACAGTAATTTGTTACGCATAATAAAAAAGCAATACAGAGGATTTCAGTATAGTTTATGTCTACAAATGGCATAGAAATATTTAATTTAAATCAATTGATGAATTGTTAACTAGAATGCCTGTCTTTCTGTCCAGGCATCTTTGATGGTTGCCACATAGGACTCCAGCTTGTAAAATTCCTTTCAAGAATAGTTACAACCTCAAAAATAAAAATAAAAATTATTTGATAACCCTTCACAGAACATTCAAATTATTTTATTATCACAAATAGCACGTTAGTGAGAGGTTTTCTTATAGCTGGGCTAAGCATTCTTAGTTCTTGATGATAAAATTTAGGAGGTTCATTTTCTGTTTATGCAGGAAACACTATTTCCTGAAAATTGTCTGGAAAAGAACTTAGGGCACTTGCTGATAGTGGTGGCAGAATAGTCATTAAAGATCATATGGAACTGACAAAAATTTTCATTTTCTTTGATTATTGTGAATTCAATCAGAAGAAATTCAGTAAAACAGTTGAATCCAAGCAAAGACTTTCAAACCCCTAAATTAAGCATGGCTCTGTGGCAAATAAAGAAGAAATATAAAACAGAGTCTCAATGAATAGGTGGAACACAGGGAACTTTTAGGGCAGTGAAACTATTCTGTATGAATATATATTCTGACTACAATGGTAGATACTTGTCATATATTTGTCAAAGCTCACAGAACATACAACACAAAGAGTGGTACCTATTGTAAAATACAGACTTTGGGTGATGTGTAAAGGCTGGTTTATCTATTGTAAGAAATGTACCCCACTGGTGAGGATATTGATGGTGGAGGGCAATGGGAAGGGAGAGAAAGGGTACACGGCAACTCTGTAATTTCTGCTCAATTTTGCTGTGAACCTAAAACTGCTGTAAAAAATAGTCTATTAAGGGGTGGGGGTTACAGAAAAGTCTCTGCCATCCAGGAAACTTAATTATTTGTTCAACAAATAGTCACTTGGTTGTTCCTTTATTATCCTTTCACTTTCCACCTTTCTGTGTCTTTATGCTTTATATGTGTCTCTTATGAACAGCATATAGTTAAATTTTGTCTTTTTATCTAACCTAAGAGGCTCTGTCTTTAATGAGGACTGTTGAATCAGTCCTATCCAAATATATATTCCTATATTTATTGTCACTATAGGTATATGTGGAGTTCTTTTCCCTATTTTGAGTTTTTTATCTGCCTATCTTTGTCTTTGCTTCTTTTTTCCCTCTTTTTCTATTTTCCACTTACTTGAAAGATACACATCATATTTCTACTGTTTTGGTAAAGGATTTTCATATATCTACTTGACTTTACTATTTGGAGTACAATCACATGTTTAGACTCCTCCTGAACATTTCAAGGTACTTAGAACCCTTTAACCCCACATAGACCCATCCCCAATATTCCATGACAGGTCATATAATGTTTAATACCTCTTTATTTTGGACCCCATCTCCTCCTCCCAAATAGTCATTATTGCTCTTTTTATTGTAAGATTTTTTTAATGGTCATTGGTTATTGAAATTTGCCAAGCTGTTTACCAATTTCTTTGCTAAACGTGGCTTCTTAGATACTGATCCTTCTTTTTAGGTCTGATTTCCTTCTTATAAACATATATTCTTTAGTATTAAGGGTTTGTGAACAGTTCAAGGGTTTGTGAACTCTCAGACTTTATTGGGGAAAATCTTTATTTCACCTTTAGTCTTTATAGATAGTAGTGTTATTTTCATAAGGATTTTCCTGCCAGTCATTTGATTGCTCTTCCTTAATTGACACTATTTCTTTGATATTTAATTCTCCCTCATCCTTTTAATTTTCTCCTTCCTGAATTCACACTGGCATATGTTGAGCATTCTTATTCTTTCATTTTTTTAATCTATGTGAGCAGAATTCTGGGTAAGTATTCAAATCCGTATTTCAATTCCCTAATTATTTCTTTAATTATGTCTTAGTCCCAGCTACTTGGGATGCTGAGGCAGGAGAATAACTTGAAGTCAGGGGTTCGAAGCTGCAGTGCAGGGATGATCTTTCCTGTGAATAGCCACTGCAGTCCAGCCCAGGCAACATAGCAAGACTCTGCTGCTCCATCAAAAAAAAAAAAAAAACAAATCAAATAAAAATTAGCATGTTACCCCATTTGTGATTTGAAAACATAATACAAAGGTAAAATGACATTCTCTAGGTACCTGCAGTCAATTCAAAATTTTCACTATGACTCTTTAACCATTATTTTGCCATGTTGAAGTTTGTAAAAATAAACCCTTAACCTGCGTTTGTTTCTGAATCCCATGCTGTAATTTATAAAGTTTACAAAGTATAGAAGCTCCAGTGGGAAAATTCATGTAAATAAAATAGCTTGATATTTTTAACTGCTGTAATTTGGGAAATGTTATTCTTTAAAAAAAAAAAATCTTTCTCCCTTCAGAAAAATAACATGTTTTCTAAATACAGCAGTAAATAGTTAATTTTACTAGTAACTCAACACATTTGGAGATACCTGTCCACTGTTAAACTGTTTTCTACCTGCTTGGTTAAGAAGACAAGTTTCTACCCATATGGGCAGAAGTGGCTCATGGAGAAACAAGAAGGTGGTGAGCTCTGATAAAGCACCTGTTATGGTTTCTCTAGTGACTCACCAGATGTTTGCAAATGGGAAACTGGTCAAGAAGTTAAAGGAGGATTGGGTGCAGTAGCTCATGCCTCTAATCCCAGCACTTTGGGAGGCCAAGGCGGGAGGATTGCTTGAGCCCAGAAGTTGGAGACCAGCCTGGGCAACATAGTGAGACTTCCATCTGCAAAAAAACCAAAAACTTATCTGGGCCTGGCAGTGCACACCTGTGGTCCCAGCTACCCAGGAGGCTGAGGTGAGAGAATCGCTTGAGCCTGGAAGGTAGAGGTTGCAGTGAGCTGCTATCATGCCACTGCACTCCAGCCTGGGTGACAGAGCAAGACCCCATCTCTAAAATAAATAAATAAGAAGTGAAAGGGTTCAAAACAGCACTGTCCAAAAGAAATACAGCGTGAGCCATACATGGAATTTAAATTTTTCTGCTAGTCACATTAAAAAGTAACAAGAAACAGGTGAAATTAATTGTAAGAATATATTCGAGTTAATCTAATATATCCCAAATATTATCATTTCACCATGTAATCAAAAAAACGTTAATGAGAGATCTTACATTTTTTGATACGAATTCTTCAAAATCTGGTATGTATTTTACACTTAAACAACACATTTCAATTTGCAGTAAGCCACATTTCAAGTCCTCAACACACAGGTGCCTAGTGTCTGCCATATTCCACAGCGCAGATGCAAACTATCACCTTTTATGTCCAAGCAAGACTCAAAATTGAAGAATGATAATTTACTATGGAAGATGTCAGAAAAGCAGGAGGGATCAATCAGATATGCCTAAGTTGGCATTTCAGACAGGAGAGCTTCCCTTTCTCTCTATGCCCCAAAGTCCTGTTGATCAGGATTGACTTCAATCAGGAGTCAGTAAATTTTTTCTGTAAAAGGGGCCAGAGCATAAATATTTTAGGCATTGCAGGCCAGACGGTCTCTGTGACAACTATTCAATTCTGCTGTTAGAGCATCAAAGCAGCCATAGATAACACAAACAAATGAGCATTGTTATATTCTAATAAAACTTTATTTATGGACACTAAAATTTGAATTTCACATAGTTTTCATGTCATGAAATTTTTCTTTCAAACATTTAAAAATTGTAAACACCTTTCTGACCTCGTGAACCCTATCAAAACAGGCTAAGGGCCAGATTTGGCCCACTGGCCATTGTTTGCCAACCCCCAAAGGAGGGGGATTAAGAAAGGAGTGCTAAAAGCTTCTATTTTAATTATAGGATGTGGGAGAGCAAAATATGCTGCCCCAAAATATAGATTGTTGAGCTAACAGCAATTGAGAAGAGGCAGATGCAGGAAAGCTCTCTGCCCTCCTTCTATTTGCCTAAAAGCAGGATTTAGATTTACAAAGACAAAAGGTATGTTGCCCCCAACCCTTCTACCAAGGAAAACAAAGATTAACCACCCAAGAAAATGGCAGACCCATATTGGTTGGGAGATTACACCAGAGGAATCTACATCAACAAGCTTTACTAACTGGCCAGTTATTTGCCTTCCCACAAGTTACTGTTACTGTCCCTAGAAACTCAAAGTCCTTTTCCTTTGTCTTGTCACTTACCTAAAAATGTACTGTTCTTTGCTGAAGATGCTATATAAGGTGGAATTCAAACCACCTCTTTGAGAACTACTCATTCTCTGGGTGTCTCCCACGTATGTGTGAAATATACATATTAAATGTAAGTAAAATATACATGTTAACTACTCTTTGTTTTTCTCTTGTTAATCTGCTTTTTTTTACAGAAGTCCATTCTAACTAAGATCCTATGAGGTAAGAAGAAAAAATCATTTTTTTTTCCTACAGGGACATTTCTTGAAGATTAAAAACTAGAACTTTGGAATCTAGAGAAAATGAACACAGGATGTGTGTCCAACCATCTCTGTTTTGACCCTAGTTCTGACATGAGTAAGTTCTTATACCCCAGTCATATCATTGATCATCTCTAGTCCTTCCTACCATCTAGATGATTACCGCAGCAACCTTAATGAGTCCAACAATAGCTCACATACTTGCACTGCATTAAATCAAAATTACTAATATTTTCAACAGACTCTGGGCAAATTTGTCATTTAAAATGCAAGAGGAATGGCTTTGTCAAGAAATAAATAGGATTGCAGAGACCTATAAATTGCTTTAACACTGCTATACTAATTTAGAAACAATTCTCACTATAAATAAGCCAACTATCATTATTATCTATGCATTACAATAAAAGAAAATTATATGTGACAGACAGCCCTGGAGCCTAATTCTAATTATTATTTATATTTTAAAGAAGTAATAGATGCATATCTTGAAATAGTCAAATTTTCAGACTCGCCAATATAATTAGCCCAAATATGTGTAGTTGTGCAGTATTTTACATTATTTCTTATTTTGCTTTGTTTTACATTATTTCACAAATCTTCCATTACATCTCTAGAAGGCAAATCCGGCCAAACCCTTAACGTAATGTAAAATAGCTAGTTGTACATAAAACCTGAGTTTTCCTTGGTGAATTAGCTGTCAGAATTAAAATGTAAATGGAAAGATAATTTGTTGATCCTATTTCCCTATTAAACATTAAAATGTTCACTTTTGTCATAACAGCCTACTCCAAGAATTTCAACCAAAAACAAGAAAGCAACAGAATTAGCTGCAAGGTGCAAGCTGACGGCAATAGTATGAATTGGCCTGCCCCAAACTATTCTTACCACCATTCGTTTTCCCTTGACCTTCTCTATCATAAAGACAGAAAGCTAAAGTAGATTTAACCTGCAGTGTTATTAGAATTAGCCATATTGGCATAGCTCTGACCATGAGATAAAGGCAGAAATTCCTGAGCAGAGTTACTTTACCTGAAGAAAAATAGGAGAAGCCCTTTGTCCTTCCCTCTTTTCCTTGCCTGGAACATAGAAGTAATGCCTGGAACTACAGCAGTCATCTTGCAACTCTGGGGCAAAAGCCACTTCCTAAGAATGGCAGGATAGGAAGCTAGAAGGATCGTGAATCCCTAGACATCATGCCTGAGCCCTGGACAACAGCCTGGACTGGCTTCCTTGCTAATTCTTATTTTATGAGAATAAGAAAATTCTTTCTTACTTACACAGCCACTATTTGCTGGGTTTTTTGGGGGCTTGTTGTTTCTTGTTTTGGCAGCTAATTGTATTTGTAACTGATAAATAAGTAAAACAAAGCAGGATTTACTTGCCGTCTATGACACACTAGTGGTTCAAATTAGAGCATGGCTCAGAATCACCCAGAGGACTTATCCATTAGATTGCTGGGCTCCAGCCCCAGAGTTTCTGATTCAGTAGGTCTTGGATGGCTCACAAAAAAATTGCATTTCTAACAAGTGCCCAGGTGATGCAGCTGCTGCTGTACCAGGGGCCTCACTTTAAGGATCCACTGGATTACACAATAGCATTTCATGACATAAGATAAAACATAACGCTACATAATACAGCATAGCAAAGCATAGAATACCACAGCACAGCATAGCACAACACAACATAAACACAATTACAGTCACTCATCAATAAAGGACAGGGATATGTTCCAAGAGATGCATCATTAGGTGATTTTGTCATTGTGTGAACATCATAGAGCGCACTCACATAAACTTAAATGGGACAGCCTACTACATACCTAGGCTATATGGTACACAGCCTATGGCTCCTAGGCTACAAACCTGGAAAGCATGGTACTGTACTGATTACTGTAGGAAACTGTAACACAATGTGAAGTATTTGTGTATCTAAACATATCTAAACATAGAAAAGGCACAATAAAAATACCGTATAAAAGATACAAAATGGTTCACCTGTATAGGGCACTTACCAAGAATGGAGCTTTCAGGACCGGAAGTTGCTCTAGGTGAGTCAGTGAGTGAGTGGTAAATGTGAAGGCCTAGGATGCTACTGTAAATTACTGTAGACTTTGGAACACTGTACACTTAGGTTACACTAAATGTATTTTTTTATTTCTTTCTTTTTAAAAATTCCAATAGAGTTTGGAGTACAAGTGGTTTTTGGTTACATGGATGAATTGCATAGTGATGAAGTTGAAAATTTTACTGCATCCATCATACAAGTAGTGTATGTAGTGTACATTGTACCCCATATGTAGTTTTTTATCCTTCACTCCCTCCTCAGGCCTTTCTGAGAGTCTCAGAAAGACCCTCCCCCTTTCTGAGTCTCCAGTGTCCATTACTCCACCCTGTATGCCTTTGTGTACCCACAGCTTAGCTCCCACTTATAAGTGAGCACATAAGGTATTTTGTTTTCCATTCCTGTGTTACTTCGCTTACAATAATGGCCTCCAGCTCCATCCAAGTTGCTGCAAAAAAAAAACATCATTTTTTTCTTATTTATAGCTGAGTAGTATTCCGTGGTGTATATATACCATATTTTCTTTATCCACTCATCAGTTGATGGGCACTGAGGTTGGCTCCATATCTTTGCAATTGTGGATTGTGCTGTGATAAACATATGCATGCAGGTGTCTTTTTGATAGAATGATTTCTTTTCCTTTGGGTAGATACCCAGTACTGGGATTGCTGGATCGAATGGTAGACCTACTTTTAGTTTGAGAAATCCTCATACTGTTTATACTGTTTTCCATAGAGGTTTTACTAATTCACATTCCCACCAGCACTGTATAAGCATTCCCTTTTCACCCCATCCATGCCAACATCTATTGTTTTTTGACTTTTTAATAATGGCCATTCTGTCTGGGGTAAGATCGTATCTCACTGCGGTTTTAATTTGCATTTCCCTAATGACTGATAATGTTGAGCATTAAAATTTTTCTTTATTAAATAATAAATTAACCTTAACTTACTTAAAATTTTTACTTTATAAACTCTTTAATTAAACTAATTTTGACTCTTTTATAATCACACTTAAAACACAAACACCTTGTACAGCTGTACGAAAATGTTTTCTTTATGTTCTTATTCTATAACTTTTTTCTGTTTTTATGTTTTTCTAAAAAAAATTTTGAATGTCTTTTGTTAAAAACTGAGACACAAAAACACACATTAGGCTAGGCCTACACAGAGTCAGGATCATCAAGACGTCACTAGGCATCAGGAAATTTTAGCTCCATTATAATCTTAAGGGACCACCATAATACATGTGGTCTGTTGTTGACTGAAATGTTGTTATGCAGCATATGACTGTGTAACGTAAACATCCTACTTTTCAACTTCCTATTACCCCTTGCTTTGCTTTTTTAAAAATAAATTTCTGCCCCAGTTCTGATTTCCAGACCAAATACTCCTTAGTAATCTGCACTTCAAGTGTAACATAAGTCGCAAAAAGATCAGCAGATATTATAGTTCTGCTCCTGCCTGAAGCTAAAAGATAGGGAAGAAGCTCTCTAGCACTTGCTAAGCTAGACTATTTGCCATGTCATTTCCTGGCACATAATTATACTGCTTGCTCACGACTATTCTACTTTCTGTCCTTCCGTAAATTGTAAATGACAGTTTGGAAGCTGTTGGCTGAAAATTCTGAAAAAGAAACCTTTACAAAGAGAGGCAAGGATAAAATCATGGTCAATTTAAAGTGGTTGCTGATAAGCTGGCCCTGAGAAGCATCCTCAAGTTAGCATGCTGTGAAAGAAATGGAATTTCCTGTCTCTTCCTCTTCCCCACCTGCACTCCTACCACCTAGAGTCTCAAAGCATGTGATCCACTCAAAAATCCAAATTTCACTGGAATGAATTGGAAAGCCCAGTGTTTAGAAGCCTTTCCCTGTCTGCTAGAGTAACATACAGCAGACTTTTACACTTAGGGCAGACAGAAAAGCTTCTACCATGTCCAGATGTTGCCCTATACTCACAGCCTTCACCCCTCCCCACAAATGGCATGCATCAAAAGACCATCAAAAAGAGCCATTCTGTGAAAAAGAAAATCTGCCATTTTCAGGGTCTAATATCTGGTCTGCTTTGGTTTCCTTCCCGGGAACTGGTGAAAAAAAAAATCCCTTCTGCCCTAGTAGCTACATGATTTAAGACATATTTTGTTAACCTCCTAGGGGAGATGGATCCACCTAATTCACCAATCGCTCATCCACTCTCCATTGTGTCCAGGATCTCAGCAAGTGGGATGAGATAGCTAGCCTGAGTTAAATAACTAAGTCTGGCCAGCTTTCATGGAAATACAGAATGTGGAGACCAGAACAAAGTTCATAGTCCTTATGGGAATGACATCCAAGACCTTGACCTTTTACCACTACCCAGCCCACTGAGCTAATAATCCATAGATACCCAGCATAGACTTTCATAATTGTCTATATTTCTTCAAACACATGCAGACCTCAGCACCTTCAGGAATTTCTGGTTTTAAACCTCCAACATCTAATTTTTATTTCCCAAAAGGTTTTCATTCTTTGCCCTTCCCCATAAGAAGCCTGAGAATAAGGACCAGGGCACAGAACCATCTCTCACTGATCCTCCTTCTTGATCTAACTTACCTTTTCAACTACAGTCAAAGATCTAAGATTCCCTGTAAACCAACCACAGCTGCAGACTTCTGAGGATATTCTCTATGTATGGTACTGTGCTAAGAGTACAATTGTAAGAAGTCAAGCATTAAATGGGAGGCGAAAAGCTTCAGTGCAGAGTGACTGTAAAGGAGGAAGTTATCCTCAAATGCTGGGCAAGGCAGAGAAGGCCTCACAGAGGACATGACCTTTGCTGTCTGTTCTCCTTCCCCCAAAACTGCTTTTAACTTCTTGGACAGGCCATTCTCTTCCCACCCCAAGTACCTTGCAGATACTATTGCCTCTCCCTAGACCCTGATCCCTTCCCACAGTTCATCTCTACACAACTTTCAGACAGGGGCTCTTTTGTTTCTATCTCAAGAAAACATTTTCTGAGCAAGATGTTAATGTTACTGTAGTTCAGAAAATCTAAGATGACATTAACTGTAAGATCCACAAAAAATTCATATACCACTAAGAAAAGCATACCAAAAATTAATTTCTGACCTACTATCAATCATAATGCACATCCAATTTCACAGATGTCAAATGTACAGCAAGGGGGATATATACCTTAGAACGAATGAAATCTGCAGTTTGGTACAAGTTAGCGATTTTTCAGAAAGACTTAATACTTGAGCTGAATTAGGACAAATACCTAATGCATGCGGGGCTTAAAACCTAGATGACGGGTTGATAGGTGCAGCAAACCACCATGGCACATGTATACTTATGTAACAAACCTGCATGTTCTGCACATGTATCCCAGAACTTAAAGTAAAATTAAAAAAAAAAAAAAAGAAAGAAAGAAAGAAACTAAAAAAAAAAAAAAAAAAAAGAGAAAGAAAGGAAGTATACCAAAACATCAAATGTGAGATTATCCCTGGGTGGAAGGATAGCAGTTGATGTTTTAAATCTTATTTTAATTATTTTCTTGGGATTTCCAGAACTTTCTACAATCAATATATTATCTCTTTTACAAAACAAACAAACAAAAACCACCTGAGCTGAAAGGTGATGTCACCTCCCATGATGTTGTCTTTCAGTGTGAGACAGAGAATTTTGCTCATGAGAATTCCTAGGGAAGTCGCAAGTGATGGGAAGACCCAGAAGGCCTGCTTTTTGTTAGAGAATTTGGAAGTTTGCCTAACATTTGGTGGAGAGAGACAGGGGTCGGGGGTGGAGAAATCAGCTAAGAGCTTCTGAGGCAATGGAGAGTTGTGCAGGATGCATGTAAAACCCTCCTCTATGTGAGCCCCAAAGCTGTATAAAATCTCCAACCCAACCAGCCTGCATGGATGATTTTTTGAAAAATGGTGGAGGAGCCTTGAACTCTGGTAAGCTCAGAGCAGAATCAAGGTGATCAACATGAATTCAGTTATAGAGATGGAAAAGATCCTGTGGAAGTCCGGCCTGGAATTGAGAATACAGTGGGAAGAGCCCTGCATTTGCTCAAGCTGTGCCATTGGGGGCTCTCAGCCACAGTAATCTCCCGGAGAGGGAGGTGGACTCCAGGTGAACTGACACACATAGCTTCATCTTCTACCTGCCTGGGGAGCAGGGGAACTGCCACCAACAGAATGCGCATTAGAAATGATCAGGAGGTCAAGACTCTAGAACCCAGAGAAGTTAAAGAAATTTGACCCATCGAATGCCATGTAGGGTTACATAGCTGGTGGGCGCTAATGTTTGCTAGAAATGTTTATGCTTTGCTTTGCAATATAACAAAATGTGTTTACGAGACCCAGACAGCTTTGGAAGGATTGATCAAGCTGTCCTGTGCAGGTCACTTGGGCTGAGATGGCAGAATAAACTTGTTTTCCAGCCAGTCTCAAATCAGTCTCCTAATGACTTTAAGTAGAAATGAAGGCACAGAGTGTCTTTGCAATAGGACCCAGGAGACTAACCCCAGTCAGAAGGGAAACAAAGAACACCCCAAGAAGTAGAAGACATAGGCCCTGTGGGCTGTTTATACTTTCCCTAAATGTGGGTAGCAAAGGCTCAGTGGCATGGGCTGGCAGTCCTGCAGAGACAAAGTCCTCTAGCACTGCAGGCTCTGGATTGACATTGGGGTTTCAATGCAGCATGACAAACTAAGGGTAAGCAGTAAAGCACTTGTGCAAAGCAGGCTAGGTGGGGGCTGTGGGAGCTCCACTGAAAGGGGAGCCAGGATCAGCAATTGCTGATTATTGCCGCATGAAGAAGTAAGCATGCGCCTCTAGATCTTCCAGTGAAGGAGATAAATGGAATCCTGGTGTTCGTGGTAATTTTCTGGATCTGTAAATGTTGGTAACTAACATAATTTTTAATTCTCTGAGAACAGTCTGAAGAATTGATTTATCCATCAGGCTTCCCCTTTACTACCTCCAGGTGAGGGCTTTCAGGGAGGTCTAGCCTTCCACCTCACCCTCCTAACCTCACAGGAATCCTCTATAATTGCTGAAGGAGCTGCTCTAAATTAATGGCCACAGAAGAGAAGTGCCTGCTGAATGCACTGAGTGCTGCTTGAGGCAGGGAAGGAGGAACCAGCAGAGGATGTTCTAGTAAATTGGTCACCACGTGGTAGCAAGTGCAATGGATTGCTCCATCTCAAGGGCTCTCTTCCACCAGCCCAAAACAGCCAATTCCACCCAATTCCCATGAGGAAGGGAAGCTATCCAAGCACAGCTAGGCAGGCACGGTTCCAGCAGCCGGAAGAGCCTGTGTAAGGATTTTGAGGCAGCCAAGTATTTGGTCTTCTTGGGAAACCAAAGGAATACCCATGTGGCTGGATCAGGGTAAACTAGCAGGGTGAAGAGAAGGCAGGTGACAGTAGTGTGAGATAAGGCTAGAGCAGTGGGTTGGATCCCAGGGCCTGGGAGTCTGCAGCTGGGGTTGGTTTACAGGGAATCTTAGATCTTTGGCTGTAGTTGAAAAGGTAAATTAGATCAAGAAGGAGGATCAGTGAGCCGTATCCCAGGGCCTGGGGGTGCCATGTTAAGGATTTGGGCTTTATCCAAGAGCTATGGGGAATTACTGGGTGGATGCAAACAGGGGAACAGACTGACTTTATTTGTGTTTAAGAAAGATCATCATTTTAGAGCAGAGTTTCTCAACGTGGGCACTATTGATATTTGGGGCCAGATAATTGTTTGTTGTGGGAGGCTGTCCTGTACATTGTAGGAGGCTTAGCAGCATCCCTGGCCTCTACCCACTAGATGCCAGTAGTAACGCCTTCCCCAGTTGTGACAAGCAAAAATGTCTCCAGGCATGTCCAAGTGTCCCCTAGGGGACAGTATTGCCCCAGTTGAGATCCACTGCTTTACAGGATGGGTCCTAAGGACATCAGTGGTTGTAGGGAGACCAGTTAGGAGGTGATTACAGAAGCCCAAGGAAGAGATCATTGTGACTTGGACAAGTGTGTGGTTTTGAGAAAGAATAATGCTAACTTTCCTCACAACAACCTATTTGGTAGGTACTATCGACTACATTTTACAGATGAGGAAACTGAGGAACAGAGTTCAAGAAACTTTCCCATGATAAGAGAGCCAGGATTCAAGCAGACAGTTGGGATAGAATTGGGATATATTTTAGAACCAGAATCAATAGGACTTAGTGATGGTATAATGTGAGAGAAGGAAAGGGGAAATGACAAGGTTACTCCAGTTTGGGGCTTAAGTTGTGGTGGGTGAAGGTGAGATTTACTGAGTACAGCATACTATAAGAGGAACAGATTACTGGGGGACAGGAGAGGGAGTCAAAAATTCCATTCCAGGCAATGTTATATGGGGGACCAGAACACCAAATATGAAGGATTGTTGAGCTGAAGATAATTAAGAAGAAGCAGATGCAGGAAAGCTCTCTGCCCTCCCTCTACTTGCCTAAAAGCAGGATATAGATTTACGAAGACAAAAGGTATCCTGCCTCCACCCCTTCTACCAAGAAAAACAAAGATTAATCACTGAAGAAAATGGCAGATCCATACTGGCCAAGAGATGGTACCAGAGCTTTACTTACTAGCCTTTAACTGCAGTTTGCCTTTCCACAAGTTGCCACACCCATAGAGATTCAAGATCCTTTTCCTTTGACTTTTAATTTCTCTAAAAGTTTACTATTCTTTACTGAAGATGCTATTTAAGCTGGAATTCAAAGCCACCTCTTTGAGAACTCCTCACTTTCTGGGTGTCTCCTATGTACATGGAAAATATACATGTTTTAAAAGTTCTGTTTTTCTCTTGTTAATCTGTCTTTTGTCAAAGGGGTCGAATCCAACTAAGAACCTATAAGGGTTATTCTTCCTTTACCGTTCCAGCGATGAAGGTGAGACTTTTCTGGGACATCCCACTCGTTCCAGGGCCTGTAGATAGGATCCTCAGAAAACTGGCTGAAGCTAGCAAAAGGGTAAGAAATTGTTACCAAAGTCAGCTCTCCTAGATCTCTCTCTGTCTATAGTGCTCAGTTGAGAGAAGGAGGCAAAAATTTCTCCTGGCCCTTTCTTTTCAAATTCAGATTGGCAGGAGAAAAACTTTTATGAGAATTAGCTTGAATTGTGACTTTTGGTCTTGAGGCATACGTTTGTTATTGATCTCTTCCCTCCCATGGACAGCTATTATTTTCCCTTTTGTCTCATTTTATTTCCTGAGAACTTGGCTTGGCTTTTTGCCTGTTGAGGGCACATGGGTTATCAGTCCTGCATATGCAGGCAGCCCACCGAAAGGCTGGATATAAATGTGGGTTGTACCCCATTTGCAGCTAGTATACTGACTGTTGCCAGCTCTCAAAGAGTCTAAGTCTTTCTTTCTTCCGACTGTCTTTGGGAGTGGCTCTGGATCTTGAGAGGGCTGCGTCTTTTCACCTGTTTGGAGATGCCTTTTATGCCTGTGGTTAAGCCATAAAAAGCTTATTGGTTTTAGTCTAGAGTCACTTGGTAGATATGCCTTTGGTTTAGAAAGTTTCACTTAAAAGTTTGGTTTCTGATCATCAGAGCTTGAAAGGAGCAATTTTCTTTTTCTTTTCTTTTCTTTTTTTTTTTTTTTGAGACAGAGTCTCGCTCTGTAGCCCAGGCTGGAGTGCAATGGCCTGACTGACCTCAAGTGATTCTCCTGCTTCAGCCTCCCGAGCAGCTGAGGTTACAGGCGCCCGCCACCACGCCTGGCTAATTTTTGTGTTTTTAGTAGAGATGGGATTTTGCTATTTGGCCAGGCTGGTCTCGATCTCTTGACCTTGTGATCCACCCGCCTCGGCCTCCCAAAGTGCTGGGATTACAGGTGTGAGCCACCACACCCAGCAGAAGCAATTTTCTTTAAGAGGCCACTCTGTTCTCTCCATCTGATACTGCTTCTCCTGTAAGAACTTCTTTGTGAACTGAAACCCCTCTTCTTCAATCCCTGCTGACTATGTTATCTGACCCCTCTGTCTGCTTCTTTTCTTGTGGGCACAATTTTTCTTAAGAACAATATGGAACTTCATTGGCTCCTTTAGAAAACTTAAGATCTCCCCAGATTGGTTCCTCTAAGCCTCAGTCACTTGGACTTTAGGATCCAGCTCTCCAAGGACTTTGGGGCCGCAAAAAGCAACTACTTGAAGCTGAAAAGGAAAAAGATTAATTAGAAATAAACTGGTACCTAAAATTTAGTCCACAGCCTCCATGGGATTGACCTCTGATGTTAAGCAATTTGCCCCAAGACTCCTTCTTGGAGGAAAGCTTGTATTCTTTGTGTGTGCCTTTGAAACTGAATTTTCTACCTCATCTTAACTGAGAGCCATCCCTTTTAAAGTGCTAACTTCAGTGAGATGACTCATCAGAAGGAAAAAAGCTTTCTGGAAATTGGGCAAATGAAAAACCTCAAAGGTGTTTTCCACAAATATTAGAAAAAGCTTTGGCTATCTGAGCAGGTAACCTTAATTTGTCCCATTTGCCAAAAACATAATTTGGTTCCAGCTTTTCTTTTATAAGCTAGTGACTTTTGTATTACTGTACCTGGCACATAGTTAAAGTTTTAGCATGAAAACTATAAGGTCTTTGTGCCTATCTGGATGTGTAGGTATGTTTACATATGTGTATATGTTTCTGTGTTATGTATGCATATTTTCTACCTGCAGATGGTATTGCCAAAATTAATTTGTAAAAGAGCCCTATTTAGTTGGCTTAAAGAAAAATAAGTGTAAATTACATATTCTTAAAACTTCTAGAAATATAGGAACTAACCCAAAAACTTTTCAAGTTCACATGACATGGGTAAATCTTTAGTAAATAAGACTAGTTCAACATTGTTGGTTTAATAAAAACAGCTGTGTCTTACAAGTTATCCGCTTTAAAAATAATATGAAAATTAACATTTTTATTCTTGTTCTACCTGGATTCACTACTCAAATAAGTTTATGTTATCTTTACTAGAGGTTTAAGATTATGAAACTATGAGATCAACCTAAGAACAAATGTGCAAGTGGATGTGTAGTGCTCATTACTCCATGTATATCAAGCACAGCAGAAAAAAAACATGTATTTAACTTTCAGGTTCTTGCTTTGGTGATGACTGCCTAACATGCACATGCTGTAAAAAAGTTAAGAGGGAAATAACTTGAGATGATGGCTAGCTTTGTGTAATGTCTCATGAAATTTTCATGAGCAATCCAAGCATAATTGTTATGAATAGGTAAATTAAATAGATGTAAGTGGGATGGAATTTATAAATGTGCTTTTTAATTATATTATATTATATTAATTATATTATATATTATATTATATATATATATATTTTTTTTTTTTTTTGAAACAGAGTCTCACCCTGTTGCCCAGGCTGGAGTACAGTGGCACAATCTCAGCTCACTGCAACCTCCGCCTCCCGGGTTCAAGCAATTCTTGTGCCTCAGCCTCCTGAGTAGCTGGGATTACAAGCATGAGTCAACATGCCTGGTTAATTTTTGTATTTTTAGTAGAGACAGGGTTTCTCCATGTTGGACAGGCTGGTCTTGAACTCCTGACCTCAAGTGATCTGCCCACCTCGACCTCCCAAAGTGCTGGAATTACAGGCATGAGCCACTGCGCCCAGCCTAACGTTAATTATATTTTATAATATGTCTATTTAAAAGCAGATTTCCAAATCTCTTTGGTAACTTACACCCTTAGAGTGTCAGTAAGTTAAATAGCAGATACCTATTGAATATCTAGACCATTTCCAAATAAGATAAAATGCTGATAATTGCTTACATAAGCTTTACCACTTTTGGCATCTTATTATAAGAAGAACTAAAGATATTTGAGCCTATTAGCAAACATGTCCTGTGCCACATTGAAAAATGGTAATATGAGGGAGCACATACTTTTAGAAATTAAAATGACTAAGAGTTAAGAATTCGAATTAATACATGTGATTAAAACTACTAGAAATTATAAGAGAAACAGCTCTATATACAAGGAAGATAAGATGTATTTTTGATAAGGAAAGTTGTAAGGTATGAGGATATATTTTTGCTAAAGAAAAGAGAGTAATGAATTCTATGCTAAAATAGGCTGACAGATTGTTTTAGGATGAAAAAGGAGAATGAAGGACAAAAACTGAATGCATATAGAAAGCTGGAAGAGAGAGATAAAGAGAGAGAATATCTCATGGCTAAAATGGAATTAATGTATTATAAATGTTTTAAAAATGAGCCTTAATAGGCCGGGCGCGATGGCTCACGCCTGTAATCGCAGCACTTTGGGAGGCCAAGAGGGGAGGATCACGAGGTCAGGAGATCAAGACCATCCTGGCTAACACGGTGAAACCCCATCTCTACTAAAAATACAAAAAAATTAGCCGGGCGTAGTGGAGGGCGCCTGTAGTCCCAGCTACTCGGGAGGCTGAGGCAGGAGAATCGCTTGAACCCAGGAGGCGGAGGTTGCAGTGAGCCGAGATCGCGCCACTGCACTCCAGCCTGGGCGACAGAGCGAGACTCCGTTTCCAAAAAAAAAAAAAAAAAATGAGCCTTAATATTAAAAGTACATTGGTATAAAACTAGAAGCTGGTTTTCTCTCTGTTAAAAGGACAAAGGTTTTTTGGAGCATTGGTCTTCTCTTGAAAGGTTTTCTTTACCTTTTGAGTGAGCTGGCTAGAAAACAAAGATTTTATGTCTTATCAAAATAATTTCCTTTGCTTCATGTTGTCTTTTATCAGGTCTTTGGTGACTTAAGAAAACTGAGTCCCCTCTACTAAAATAGCCAAGGTTTTTTTCTACAACTATTTAACTTTCTGTATTTGCCTTTGAAGTCTTTTAATTATCACTCTGGTTACATGAATGACTATTGTTTCACAGTGACCTGTGATCTTCTTTAATCAACTGTTTTAAACTTTTTGACATTTTTGACAACCTCCCAAAGGCAAATTCTAAATTAAGTCTTTTTAACCTCAAATTAACTTTGGGATTTTTTAGATGGGCCCCAGGAATATCACAAAAGAATTTGTTCTATCTCCTTATATTAATACAAAGAGAGATGTTAAACTAATTAAGTTTATTTTACATGTTAAATTGTATGGAAAGTATTGTCAAATAACAAGTGATGCTAAAGCTTCTACATGTTGCTAAAATGACACTTCAGTAACTGTATGTAACTCCTAGAAATCTGATACATCCTGACATAATGTTTTCAGTCATAATTTTAGTTATTATCTCAAAATATTGTATTTCACAGAAATAAAATTTCCTTGCCAATTACATTATAATGAACTTTTATCTGATCTTTCACCATTGCCATTTTAAGTCTTGTCATCCACCGTCAATTGTTTTACTCTGGTTCTTTCATGAAAGCTTTTGCAAGCAACTATAACCCTGAAGTGTTTCATCTTCAAGGAGATTCATGGAAAGGACTCTGACAAGTACAGGTTTCTAATAACTCTAAGATCATACCATTGAACTGGGGAGAATTTCTAGAACTCCAATGAAGAAACTGATTGGTTGATAAAAGTACTAACCCAATATCAAGCAGAATATGAGTTAATTACATGGGACCAAATGAACTGTTGAAAAAGAATTATGTTTTCTTGTAAACTTGTTGTTTAAAACTGCACTGATTCTTTAATGTTTTTCTAGGTTTGTTTTTTTTTTTTTTTGAGATGGAGTCACGCTCTACTGCCCAGGCTGGAGTGCAGTGGCACGATCTCAGCTCACTACCACCTCCGCCTCCCGGGTTCAGGCAATTCTCCTGCCTCAGCCTCCTGAGTAGCTGGGATTACAGGCACACGCCACCATGCCTGGCTAATTTTTGTATTTTTAGTAGAGACGGGGTTTCACCATGTTGGTCAGGCTGGTCTCAAACTCCTGACCTCATGATCCACCCGCCTTGGCCTCCCAAACTGCTGGGATTACAGGTGTTTTCTAGATTTAAGAAAACTTTTTCTTTTATTTTAAGCTATCTATAGCTTATAACAATTTGGCAAATTATACTTTTGTAAAGAGAATTAAAATATTGACTTTTTCTCCCTACCTGATCCCTCCAGAATTCAGAAGCTATTAGTGGGTATTCTGTTTTTATGGCAATGTAGTTATTTGCATAAGTTCAATAAGAATCTGTTTTCTTTTTTAACAGGACATAATTGGAAACATTGATTATATTACCAAGGCATTTGACTAGAACATCATATTTGAGAATGTGCATAGAACTAGATATGATCAGTTTTTAAGGAACTAAGGTTAACTTCATGGAGACAATAACCATTCCCTGACCCCCCAGAAAAACTGCCTTGGTACCCAATTTAAATGCGTTTCCAGCGTTACAGGTGGGTAAAGAATGCCACTTCCTAGAAGGCCCAGGAACCTCAAGATACCTTGGAGACAGAAAGAAGAGAGGAATTCACCCAAATCAATAAGCATTGCAGGCAAAGTCTGATGGCAAGTCCTAGGCTTGGTTTCTTAGCCTCAAGAGGCTTTTAAAAGTTTAACCTGAGATTTCATATGAAATCTTCCAGGAAAGCGGAGTGTAGATGGTCAATCACTATTCTTGCTGCACTTATATAAATAATCAGGCCAAGTTTAATGAGACTAGACTTATTTTGCAAATAAATTAATCCTACTCCGATTGTCTTTGGCAAAAATGGGGGTGACCATACAGAGAGGAAAATATGTTTCAGAAGAAGACTGTAGTGCAGTCATTATTAGACTCTAGCTTTTTTTGTTTGTTTTTTTAGAGATGGGGTCTCACTCAGTTGCCCAGGCTGGAGTGTGGTGGTGCAATCATAGCTCACTGCAGCCTTGAACTCCTGGGCTCAAGCAATCCTCCCGCCTCAGCCTCCCAAAGTGCTGGAACTGCAGGCATGAACCACCACACCCAGCCCCCTATTCACTGTTTTCGAGGTTTTAGTATCTATCTATAAACTAAACTGGATCCTGAATTCTTTTAGTTTCCTCCAATATCTAATTGCGACTCTCCAAACTAACATTTCTAACTTTCTTCCATCTTTCTAACTTAGAATCGCTAAGAACAAAAACTGCCCTTTTCTCAAAGCCCTGCAAGCTGAAGCTGGATGACTTGATATAGACTTCAAAGAAACCACCACAACAGTTTAGGTATGGGCAACCTTCATGCTTATTGCTGTTATGGGCCATGAAGAAAGTTTACCAGAATACCTCATGCAAACTGCAAACCAGAAAAATCCATCAAATTGCCACTGCCTGCCCTCAGTCCAACTAAAGACACTTTGTGCTCAGACCTAGAAATCTTCTCAATTGGCTGCCATCTGGAATTAAAAACTGAGTTTATAGTTTGTTCTATTAACCGTTGTTTTTCTTTTGTTTCCATAGAAATGCCTCTTATTAAATACCTGTTTGCTCACACACTATAGAGGCCTAACTTTGATAGGAGCTCACCTGAAATACCACTTCTTCAAATGAAACACAACTATTTAACTGAACTGATCTATTCTCAGGACTGAGACTGATTCAATAAGAAATGAGACAATGTACTCAAGTTTGTTCTTTTCTTTTCTTTTTCTTTTTTTTTTTTTTTAAGACAGAGTTTTGCTCTTGTTACCCAAGTTGGAGTGCAATGGCTCAATCTCTGCTCACTGCAACCTCCGCCTCCTGGGTTCAAGCGATTCTCCAGCCTCAACCTCCCAAGTAGCTGGGATTTCAGGTGCGCCACCAGCACGCCTGGCTAATTTTTGTATTTTTAGTAGAGACAGGGTTTCACCATGTTGGCCAGGCTGCTCTTGAATTCCTGACCTCAGGTGATCTGCCCACCTGGGCCTCCCAAACTGCTGGGATTACAGGCGTGAGCCACTGGGTCCGGCCAAGTTTGTTCTTTTCTGCTTGTTCCAATCTATGCTTTTCTCTCCCTTTGCCAATCCCTTATTTGGCAACTTCTAACCCAAGTCTTTCCATGGCTAATAATCCTACTTTTAATATGTGCAAACTTTCTAAAAATAAAGTTTCAATGGGGGGACTATGGGAGACTAAACTATGCTGTCCCCAAATTTGAAGGACTATTGAGCTAAAGACAATTAAGAAGCAGATGGAGTAAAGAAAGCTCTCTGCCCTCCCTCTATTTGCCTAAAAGCAAGACATAGATTTACAAAGACAAAAGGTATCCTGCCTCCCCTCTCTACCAGGGAGAACAAAGGTTAACCACTGAAGACAACTCTAGACCCTTATTGGCCTGAAGATGGTAACAGAGAACTCTACATTAACTAGCCGTTTTCTGCCAGTTATTTGTCTTAGAGACTCAAAGACTTTTTCTTTGGTCTTTTCACTTCTCCAGAAATTTACTGTTCTTTGTTGAAGATGCTATATAAGCTGCAACTTGAAGTCACTTCTTTGAGAACTATTCATTCCCTGGGTGTCTCCTATGTATTTGTGAAATATACATGTTAATGAACTTCTGTCTGTTTTTCTCTTGTTAATCTGTTTTTTGTTAAAGGGGCCCATTCCAACTAAGATGATATGGAGTTTATTCTTCCCCTACAGTTATATTTGAGGTGCCTGTGAGACATCCAAGTGAGGGGATCAAGTAAGCAGTTGGAGGAACTCAAGAATTATGCTGGATAAAAATTTTGGAGTCATCCCCATTTAGAGGTTTAGTTCCAGTCCTGGATAACATCATCTACAAAGAGTGAAGAATGAAAAAGGTTGTATGACTTCCCAGTTGCTTTTTCTGTTCTCTTTTATTCTCTTCTGAAAATTAATCAGGCTGAGTGGCAATCCTTTAAGGATATATAAAGGCCGCATTTGACCCTTCTTCCATTCCTTGTTGCTCCATAATTTAAGACACCGCCATTACCTGACATTTTTCTTTCCAAGAGACCTATAACTCAGAGAAGTCCATAGCCTGTCTTTCATATGCTAAGCCATAAACAGCTCTCAAACCTCAGGTTGTAAAATTAGTGATTAACAGTTTCATCTCTGAAGTCAGAATGCAAGGGTTTGAATCCCAGTTATGTTAGGTCTCAAATCCTGTTTCCTCATCTGTCAAATGTGCTTGATAACAGCTCCCGAGCTCATTGACTTGTTTTAAAAGAGAATGCATGCATAGCACATAGCAGGGGATCATGCCCACAGTAACTGCTAAATAAATACTAGCTGTTCTTATTAATTCAGATGAATCAATGAAATGGGACATGTTGCTTGTAAAATTTCTTTTAAGTGAGGTCAATTCAAAACACTAAAAGATGGAAAAGAGAATGATGGTCCTTCAGCATAATCAGGTAGAGAAATGCCAAAAGGAGGTAAATTTCTGTACTGTAAGAAGTTATTAGGTTGGTGCAAAAGTAATTGCGGTTTTTGCCAACCTCAATTACTTTTGCACCAATCTAGTAAGAATGTGGCTATCCTTGTGGTAAGTTGCTGTCAGGAGCCCTGAAAGAGTTCTCTGCCCCATCCTCACACTTTACATTTCCTAATGAATAAAATCTATTAGCATAGGACAAAGCCTTCCATTCCAATGTTCAGGGATTGGGAGAGGAATAAGGCAATTAATTTGATCCTCCGTGAGTTTAACTGATGACAACTTTGTTCCACTAGCTGGATTTACCAGAGGGAGGAGGAAAGGCCCTGTACTCCCTGACTTCTGGAGAACAAAAGAAAAGGAGAACTAGAAGGCAAAAACCCAGAAGAAAAACCTCAGTTCCTTTTCAGATCTGTGGACAAGGAATGATTTACCTATTTGGGGCAATAAATGGATTTGCCTCTTTGGGACTAAGATGATAAGAGAGAAACAAGCCTAGGCCTTAACGCTGGGACACAGAGGCCTTTACCCTCACTGTGCATAGAATCACCAAGTGAGATTCCAAATGATACGTATGTCTGGACCCACCTTCAGAAATTATGAGGCAATTGGCTGGGGTAGGGCTCAAACATCGATATTCTTAATAGTTCACAGTCAACTACACACCAACCAAATAGCAAAAATTAAAAGACAGGTGGGGTGGGGGCAATACCAAATGTTGGCAAGAATGTGTAGCTACTGGAACTCTCTTACACTGCAGGTGGGATGTGAGAATGTCAATTGGTATGACCACTGTGGAGAACTTCTTGATAGTTTCTTATAGAGTAAACAGACATTTACCCTATGACCCAGGCAATCCACACCCAACTAAAATGAGTGCTCACGTCCACCACAAGACATGCACAAAATACTCACAGCAACTTCATTTACCATAATACAAAAATTGAAAACAGCCTAAATGTCCACGAACAGCAGAATGGGCAAATAAAGTGTAGTAGATTCATGCCATAGAATACTATGCAGCAATGGAAAAGAATAAACCTCTGATACATAGAACAGCATGGATGAATCTTATAATGTTGAAGGTAAGAAGCCAGACACAAATACCTACTATATGGTACTACTTATATGAAGTTCAAAAACAGGCAGAACTCTTCAGGATAATAGAGGTCAGAACAGTGATAAGCCCTGGAGGAGGGCATTGAATGGGAGGTATTCTTTGGAGGTGCTGAGAATGATCTGTATCTTGACCTGAATAACATATGGATACATACGTAAAAATTCATTATGTTGTACACAAGATTTTTGCTGTATGTGTATTTACTCATTCATTAATTATTTTAAACCTCAATTACAAATGATCTGAAAAAGCTCCCCAAGTGATTCCTACATGTGGCCACTGTGTCTGCCAGAGTATTGTTCTCCTACCCACGTCACACTTTACCCTTTGGTAACACATTTCGTCATGTCACACGTTACACTTACAAAATCATTCATGACACTTTGGAGAGGCCAACAGAGAAAGCACTAAGTGTACTATTTAAAATTCCTAGCAAAGGTATTAGCTTCATTAATTCAGCTGTACTCTCCAGTTACTAATGGGAACTGAAAATTCTCTGTCAGTCCTTAAACTCTGCAGGTGAGGCCCATATGTCCACAAAGAAATCTATGGCATAAACAGCTGAATTCTTAACAGTCCCCTGGTTTAGAATTTTCTCATCTTCACTGCAAGTCCAAGTAAGGAATTATGGAATATTAGAACTATGTATGAACCTGAGAAATAATCCACTCTGAGGCCCAGACAGGTGAAGTGATTCATCCTATGTCACCCAACAGATCAGTAATCTCCTGATGCTCTCACTGCATTGACACTCTGACACTTTGCCATCAACATGCATTTCTGAATAGAAACACTGTCCCCAGTCACCTGCAGAAACAGTAGTGATAGAAGAGTCTTTGGGAGATTTGATTTTTACCCACTTAGCAATTTGCCACCCAGGCATTAGCTAAAAATGCACCTTTTATCTTTAGCATTACACTCCATCTCTTGACATGGCACCAATAATCTTGGAGTCTTTGTGTGCTTTTGTTCACTCATCTAAGGGTGCTGGATCATCTCAAACTAACCTGATCTGATAAAAGAGTGAAAGAAGCATGGAAGTGTTACAGAGTCCACTAAATGGATATAGGCTTCTAGTCCAGGTGTGCCTCCCGCCTGACCTTGAGCAAATCATTAAAACTCCAAGAGCCCCTGTTTGCTAATTTATAAAATGGGAACGTGAGCTGAGGTTCAAAGATTTCACTGAATTTTTTAAGTATCCAATGAGAAAAACATTTATGAAACCACCACAAGCCTCTACGCAAACATATAAGGCTTCCTCCCATTTTTTTTTTTTCGCCTGCCACTAAATGTGCCTGTAAAGTCAAGTTAAGAGAACAAAGCAGGAAATGTGCTGATGGATGGTTTCTCCACTAAAATATTTTCTAGCGAAAGACATCTCGTTAACAAGCCACTCTGTATACTATAACATATATTTCACAATTTATCAAACTCCTGCAGGATGTCAAAATAATTGGCCTATAATATTTCTAAAATATCGTCAGCCATCTCTGGATTTATTACATGCATATGCATTTACATAATGATGTCTGAATTTACACATCATGCATCTTTCCATACTTTAGGCTTATATTACTCTTTCTTTTAAAATCACGAGCCTTGCTATAAAATGCAAAAGTCTTTAACATTTTCTTCAGCATAAAGATAAGTAATAGAAGCAGTATTCCACTGTTAGCATGTAGATGACAGCTTAGAAACATTGATAACAAACTTGGAATTTCTCCTCCATTGGTCAGAGAGAGAAGAGATGGTTCAAGATTTGTGGCCCAACTGTGTCATGGCAGCTACCCCAACCTCAGTAAGGTGGCTATAGAATACTTGATGCTGAGGCATTGCTGCCATTACCATTTTATCTGATATTGGGAAAAAAATTTACCTACTCCAATCCAAGGTGAGTGGAGAGAGAAGAGGTTGTTCAAATAGATAACACTGGCTGGCACTGCTGATTGGCCACCCCAAAGCCATTCCCAACCCCATTCTCCCTTGCCACCTCATTCTAGAGTGGAAAGTCAAATACTTTTCCATAGTCTCTTACAGCTGAGGGTTGCCATCTGATCCAGCTCTGGCCCATAAGATACAACCAAATTTTTTAGCTTCTTTTTTTGTCCATAGTATATCTCACTAGGAATAGTTAAATTACTGTAGCTTAAAGCCGTTTGAAATATTTCTTCTCAATGTTTTGCCACTAACTTGCTATACCCTTAGTTTTGTTTGTTTTATTTTGGTTTTTATTTTTAGGGCATGCTTTTTAAATTTAATTTTGTTTAGAATTATGTAAAACACTTACATGATTGCAAAGTTAAATTTATAAAACAAGATCTATCAGAAGACCCAATTCCTATCTCTGTCTCCTCTACCCAGTTTCCTCCTTCCTCCTTTATGTAACCATTTTAAAAGTTGTTGGATTATTTTTCCATTTTAAATAAAGTGTTTATATTTAAATTATTTTAGATTTACAGAAAATAGCAAAGATAGTTCAGAGAGTTTCTGTATATCCTTCACCCAGCTTCCCCTAATGTTACCTCTTACATGGTGCGTTTGTCAAAACTAAAATATTAACACTGGTACAATACTACTAAGTATACAAACTTTATTTAGATTTCATTATCATGTTGTTGTCCCACCGATGTCTTTTTTCTGGGCTAGGATCCCATCTAGGATCCTGCCTGACATATAGTTGTTATGATTCATTAGTCTTCTCCAAACTGACATAGGTTGTCAATCTTTCTTTGTCTTTCATGAATTTGACACCTTTGAAAAGTAGCAGCCAGTTATATTGTATAATATTCCTCAATTTGAGTTTGAATAATGGTTCTGTATGATTAAATTCAGGTAATGCATTTTTGGCAAGAAAACCATAGAAATGGTACTCTTCCCTTCTCAGTGCATCATATCAGGTGGCACATGATGTCAATTTACCCCATTACCAATGAAGTTAATTTGGTTAAGGTAGTGTCAGCCAGATTTCTCCACTGCAAAGTCACTATTTTCCCATTGTATTTAGTAAATATTTGGGGGGAGATACATTTAAGCTATGCTAACATCTTATTTTTGCTTAAGCTTTCGCCCATTAATTTTAACATCTATTAATAATTCTTGCCTGAAATAACTATTACTATAGTGTTTTCCAAGTGATGGTTTTCTATTTTCATCATTCCTTCTATGTTTACTAATGGAAATTCTATGAAAAAAACTTTTCCTTCTTCTTTCATTTATTATCTTATTCAATTATTTGTTTATAGTAGTATGTATTTGTGGATATTTGTCTTGTTCTATTTATCTTATTGTATTACTTCATTGTTTGTTTTGTTGCATATATTGTCCCAGATTTGGCTATTGAGAGTTCCTTTGAGTTGGCTCCCATGTCCTTTCAACATGTCCCCACAATTTTTTAGCACTTTTACTTTCTGATGCCACAAGTTGTTTCAGGCTCTTCTTGTATTTCCCCTGTCCCAGTCCTGGAATCAGTCATTTCTCCAAGGAGTTCTGGTTACTCTTATTGAAGAACGGTAATTTGAAATCAAGATTTGGGTACTGTGTGTACTCCTTGCTACTGGAATGTCATTGAACTTTAACAAAATGTTTTGCTTTTTTTTTTTTTTTTCTCTGCAAAAGATACTGTTAAGAAAATGAAAAGATAAGCCACAAACCAGGAGAAGATATTCACAAAATACATATCCAATGAAGGACTTGTATGAACATATATATTTTTTAAAACTCTCAAAACTCAAAAGTTAGACAAACAACTCATAAAAAAATGGGCAAAGACATTATCCTCAGCCAGCCAACCACCACAGGAACAGAAAACCAAACACTGCATGTTCTTACTTATAAGTGGGAGCTGAACAACGAGAACACATGGACACAGGGAGGGGAACACACACTGGGGCCTGCGGTGGTGGGTGCGGGGAGGGAGAGCATCAGGACAAATAGTTAATGCACACGGGGCTTAATACCTATGTGATGGGTTGATGGGTGCAGCAAACCACCATGGCACACGTTTACCTATGTGACAAACCTGCACATCCTGCACATGTACCCCGGAACTTAAAATTAAAATTAAAATTAATTTTAAAAAAGACAAAAATAGGAAAAGAATTTGAACAGACCTTCCACCAAAGAAGATACATGGGTGGCAAATAAACATACAAAATGATGCTCAACATTGTTGTTCATTTGAGTAGGCAAACTAAAACCACAATGAAATAATACTATGTACCTATTGGAATGGCCAGAATTAAAAAACAAAACTAAAACCTGACAATACTGATAAGGAGGTAGAGCAACTAGAACTCTCATGCTCTGCTTGGTGGGCAACAAAATGGCATAGGAAACAGTTTGGGAGTTTCCTATAAATTTAAACAAATATTTAACATACAACACAATTATTTCATTTCTAGAAATATACTCAAGAGCAATACAAACTTATGAACACACAAACACCTGTCATGAATATTTATAGTGGCCTTGTTTATAATCATCAAAAGCTGGAAACAACCCAAATATTCTTCGTTGGAGAATATATAAGGAAACTGTAGTATACCCATCCAATGAAATACTACTTTATTAAAAAGTCAAGAAACAACAGATGCTGGTGAGGCTATGGAAAAACAGGGACACTTTTACACTGTTGGTGGTAATGTAAATTAGTTCAACCATTGTGGCGATTCCTCAAAGACCTAGAACCAAAAATACTATTTGACCCAGCAATTCCATTACTGGGTATATACCCAAAGGAATATAAATTATTCTATTATAAAGATACATATGTTCATTGCAGCACTATTCACAATAGCAAAGACATGGAATCAACCCAAATGCCCATCAATGATAGACTGGATAAAGAAAATGTGGTACATATACACCATGGAATACTATGCAGCCATAAAAAGGAATGAGATCATGTCCTTTGCAGGGACATGGATGGAGCTGGAAGCCATTATCCTCAGCAAACTAACACAGGAACAGAAAACCAAACACTACATGTTCTCACTTATAAGTGGGAGCTGAACAATGAGAACACATGGACACAGGGAGGGGAACAACACACACTGGGGCCTGTCAGGGAGTTGGAGGGAGGGAGAACATCAGGATCAATAGCTACTGCATATGGGGCTTAATACCTAGGTGATGGGTTGATAGGTGCAGCAAACCACCATGGCACACGTTTACCTATGTAACAAACCTGCACATCCTGCACATGTATCCCAGAACTTAAAATAAAATGATTTTTTTAAAAAAAGAAATACTATTTAGCAATACAATGGAACAAACTACTGATAGAGGCAACAACTTGGATGAATCTCAAATGCATTATGCTGGATTAAAGAAGCCAGATTCAAAAGGCTACATCCTGTCTGATTCTATTAATATTTACATGGCATTCTGAAAAAGGCAAAACTATAAAGGCAGAAACCAGATCAGTGTTTACCAGGGGCTGGGGTGAGGGGAGAAGATAATTAGAAAGGGGCAGCAGGGAACCTTTTGGGTCAATGGAAATGTTCTATATCATGTTCGTCATTGTAGTTATATAACTCTTAGATGTAACGTCACGTGTGTTTATCAAATCTCATAGACCAATATACCAAACAGAAGGCATTTTCCTATATAATTTATTCCTCAATAAAAAAGAAAAATCAAAATAGGGAGGAAGGCAGACAAGAAATTCCAATCACACTTCTGAAACTGCAATCCAGAGTAGCTATGTTTTGTCAAACGCTGCTCACAACACTTAACAGGAAGCCATTTAAATTTTCTACAACTATCACATTTATTTACCTATAATGATGACTATTCTTTTTGTGTTACTATGAGCTAGGCCCTGAAATAGCCATAAAACATCATGTGGATAAAGTACTTTGTACATTTCGAACAAGGTTTTACAAGAAAAGATGAGAAAAGCAGCTATTCTTCTATACCGATGAAAGGTCTAAGAAGTAAACCATGTTAAGAGGCTTAAAGGCCTGAGCTCTGGAAATCTTAATTTAAGAGACGCAGGTGGGCCGATTACTTCCTCTGAATAAAAGGCAGGAAATCTTCCCCGGCTTTGTTAAAGCGGGTGAGTCATTTTGAGTGAATCTGTTCAGACAATTCCTCTGGGCAGCAAGCATCACTCATTATAGCGGCCAGGAAGAAACGCCAGCCGACTCAAAAGAGCTTTCTCCTCTGTCCCTCTCTACACCTGAAATCAGTTATGTGCTCGCCTTAATGTCCTCTTCCCTTTCCCCAATCAAGCCCACATCTCTTCTGCACCCAGTACCAGTCCCCTACTGCCCATTCTGTACTGATTAGGCCAGGGGTCTGCAAACTCCAGCCTGCTGCATGTGTTTGTATGACCTGGGAGTGAAGAGTGGTTTTTTACGTTTTTAAATTGCTGGAAAAAATCAACAGAAGAAAAAGATTTCATGAGATGTGAAAATTATATGGTATTTAAATTACAGTGTCCATAAATAGAGTTGTATTGGCATTCAGTCATGCCCGTTTTGTTTCTGTATATCTATGACGACTTTAGCACTGCAACAGGAGAGCTAAGAAGCTGCAGGAAAGACCATGTGACTCACAAAGCCTAAAATATTTACTATCTGGCCCTTTGAAGAAAAAGTTTGCTGTCCCCTGATTTAGGCATTTTCATTCTGTTGCCTCCATGTTGATGTCTAGACTATAAATTTATAAAAAGGCAAGGTCCAGCAACATCCTCTACACACTAGATCACGTCTCTGTGACACCATAACAACTTGTGCTCTTGTACAGTATTTTTTGCTGCTGCTAAGCAGGATAAAGACATATAGCATTGCAGTATGAAAAGAAATAATTTGAGGAAAACTGGATTCCTTGTTTCTGAAACTATTCACTTAAGTATTCCATAGTAGCACACACTCTTATAGGAAATTTGTGGTGTCCAAAACAATAACTGTTCACTAAATGTTACTTCACAATATCCAGTCAGGCAAAGAATATTTTACCAATCCATCAACTCTGCAAGTTACATTGCGTTTCGAATAGGTGTGAGTAAAAGTGTAACAATCATTTCCTGAGCTGAGACGCTAAGTGATACTATTCTAAACATTTGTCTATTCACCTGTTTATATTCTGGCGATGCTCATATTTTCTTTTGATATGAATCAGATTATGGGGCTAAGTGATACAGCAAAGAGTATGCTGGAGCTGGAATAGGATTTAGAATCCAAACATTTGCATTTAAATCTTGTTTCTAGCACTTACATTGGATAAATTTCTTAACATCTTGTATCCCCAATGAACTGATCAGTAAAATAGGAATATAAATTACACCTCCTGGGACTTCTGTGAAGTATTAATAATTATGTGAAAGCATCACATTTGTGTCATGATGACAGTGATATGTTTCTTTCTGTCTTCTTTCTGTCTTCCCTCGACCTCATTAAAATAACTTCTGTACTACTGGGAAACTCAATGTGTTAAGTAAGAGGTTTCCTCAACCAGTGTGGCCAGAAAAATCATTAAAAATATCAATTGGTTAAACTTTTTGATTAATTGTTCCTATAAACTTGCTTGACTAATATTTGGCCCTTAAGCAGACAAAGACTAAGCAATTTAATATTGCTTTTATTCTGTGCTAAGGAAAATGTCTCATTTTCAATTAGCAGGATCAAAGGTATCTCACTAATAGGAGATGATGATCAATTAATTAAGAGCTACACTGCTGTAAGGAGAAAATATTCACTTCTCTTTTGCAGTCTTATCCTTTGAAATCATTGGGAGTGTATCATCAAATACAAGAGTATTATCAGATCTTATAAGTTCTGAAGTAACCATTTAAAATGTGATTAACTGTTTCCACGGAAAACATACCTATTAAGGGCCATAAAGGGACACATATAATTGGCTCTAGATGCTGCTATGAATACTATCAGCTCCTATGTACATGAGTGCCAATTTGATTGATGCTGAAAAATAAGTGTTGTAACATTTTTACATCCAGAAAACTTACTTCTCTACTTGAAGAACGCTTTAAAGGGTTTTCTTTGGTTATTGGTTATTGCTGAGATCTACTGTCGGAGAACCAAGACGATGAACTTCGGTTTGCCTCAGAGAGACATCCAAGGCTATAAAAGAAATAGGGACTACATAAGCCTCAGTTTCATTTTTAAGACTAAGAGCCACGGGTAGAAGGGCTAAGCTAAGGATGGTGGGCAGGGGAAGGGCTGGTTGGGAGCCCAGTTAAAAGCAGCCAGTTCAATGGTGACAAATTTCACTGTCACTTTGAACAATCTGTTTCCAAACCAAATATCTGTGATGAGTTCATTTAGTAACTATTCCCTTGATACCTACTGTATATTAGGCCATGTGCTAGGCACTAAGGATTTAATAGCACTAAATTCGGAGTCAGAGACCTGAGTTCTAGTCCTAAATCTAATACTAACCAGTTGCGTGAAAAGGGCAAGTGTTGCGTTATGGGCCAGGTTTTGAGATCACAAATGTTATCTCTCCATTCTAGTGCAATTCTGTAAGTATCCCTCTTGAGTGTTTTTGGTCCAAATCAAGAGGATCTGTTTCTTCTTATTAGGCACTGATTGAAAGGTTCAGAATTCTAAAAGATATTGGTTAGAAGGGTTTGTGTGTGTTTTTTAAAGTCTCTTGGGAGGCTGAGGCAGGAGAATGCCGTGAACCCGGGAGGCAGAGGTTGCAGTGAGCCGAGATCGTGCCACTGCACTCCAGCCTGGGTGACAGAGCGAGACTCTGTCTCTAAATAAAAAAAATAATAATAAAGAGTCTCTTTTAGTCTTTTAGTCCATTGAAGATTTTATACAATAGAATCTGATACTATTCACAAAGTCTCTTGGCTGTAATTATTTCCTATGACCCAGCAGTAAAGACCCCACTCCAAACAAGTTCATGGTCTCTGGATGAGTCTTGGCCACAGACAAAGAGATCTTCTCTGCTCATTAACACTCGAGCTGATTAAGAATGACCTCTGACTGGCATGCTGGTTCACACCTCTAATTCCAGCACTTTGGGAGGCCTGGAGGGGAAGATTGCTTGAGACCAAGAGTTCAAGACCAGCCTGGGCAAAATACAGAGACACTGTCTCTGCAAAAAATGAAAAAAAATAAATTGGGAGGCATGGTGGCACACACCTGTAGTCCCTGTTACTTGGGAGACTGACGCAGGAGGATCACTTGAGACCCAGGAGTTCAAGGCTGTAGTGAGCTACTACACTACTTCACTCCAGTCTGGGCAACAGAGTGAGACTCTGTCTCTATTTTGTGTGCATGTATGTGTGTGTGTATATATATATGTGTGTTCGTGTGTGTATATATATATAGATATATATATTCACACATGTATCTGCAGTGACCTCTCAGAAAGAAAATAGTAGCCTCTGCTGTCCAAAACTAATCTGACATTCACAACTAAACTTCAATATTTTTTACGAACTCATCTGATGCTTAAAGCCAGGCCATTTTTGTTCTCCCTTTGGACATAAACTCACAGACCACCAGCCTCAGACAAGTTTACCCTGAGACCATGATACAATGAAACAAAATAATGCCACTTCCTAATTTTGTTTAAGCACAAACAAAAAGGTCAATGTGTCACACACAAAATACCCAGTCACAGAATTACCCTTTCTGTCAACATCCAATCTGGACCACACTCCTGCTTCCTTAGACCCTCCTATAGTATGTTCTTCCTAATACCCTCTTACTTAGACAACCGATGGTTCCCTGTAATGAGTAATAAACTGGACTTGTTTAATCAAGTGTGCTCCCCGTGGTCTATGGCTAAAAGAGCACTGACATCTCCAATTACATTTTTCCTTCTCTCATCTCATCTGGGACACCAAGAGTGGAGCTTTCTTGTCTGATAGAAATATTATAGAGGTACAAGCATATAAAAATTCTCACCACATAGAACAAACTAGAAAGACTTGACAGAACACCTCTGCCCTCCAGTTTCTCTCCCTTTTTGTATCTTTTACATGATTTAATTATCTCTGGAAATGGAGTCTCTCAAGCCTTATCTATTAACCTAAAAAAAAAAAAAAAAAGAGGAGGCCGGGCACAGTGGCTCACGCCTGTAATCCCTGCACTTTGGGAGGCCAAGGCGGGCAGATCTCCTGAGGTCAGGAGTTCAAGACCAGCCTGGCCAACATGGTGAAACCCCGTCTCTACTAAAAATACAAAAATTAGCCACGCATGGTGGCGCGTGCCTGTAGTCCAGCTACTCAGGAGGCTGAGGCGGGAGAATGGCTTGAACCCAGGAGGTGGAGGTTGCAGTGAGCCCAGATCGCGCCACTGTACTCCAGCCTGGAAACAGAGAGAGACTCCATCAAAAAAAAAAAAAAAAGAGGGAATTGGACTATAAGGTATTTCCCAAATTATGTTCCTTGGGAAACCATTGTCCTTCAAGGCCAATAGGTGTTTCCAGAAAGGATTCTATGAGAAAAATGAGTTTTAGAAATTCTACATTCTATAGTAAATCTCCTCTTGTAGTTCTAGTCCCAGTTCTACAAGCTACTTTGAAAGTTAGTTAAACCTCCCTTTACTCAAATCTCAGTTCCTCATCTGCAAAATGGCTCTTGTAGTACCTGCTCTGCCACCTCCTTGGTGTTGAGAACCAAATGAAAAAGGTGACAGGAAAGTATTTTAAAAACAGGAGAACACTCTATTCAGGTGAGACATGGAGGCAGCATTGCATCCATTGGAGAGATCCTTAAGGCCAGGAGACTAGCCCGGAAACTAGGCCAAGAGGATGTACGTGTGAACTAGAGCTGGCACAGTGAGGAAGGGAAAGCTAGGTATTCCAGGGCTGCTGCTGGGTGACAAACCACCCAAAAACATTGCTGAAAATAGCCATTTATTATGCTCACAGATTATGTAGGCTAGAAATTTGAATGGTACACTATGGGGAAGACTTGTCTCTGCTCTACAATATCTGGGGCCTCAGCTGAAAAGTTTCCAAGTCTGGGGGTGACTCAAAGACTAGAGTCGTCTTGAAGGCTTCCTCATTCACATGTCTGGTAGTTGAGGCTGACTGTTGGCTGGAACACTTACACATGGCTTCTCCATCTTTCCATGTGGTCTCTCCATGTGGACTAGTTTGAGCTTCTTCACAGCATGGTGGCTGGGCTCCAGGAGAGTAAGAGGTTCAGCAGATACTGAACTCTGTAAAAAAAACAAAAACAAAAACAAACAAAAAAAGAGAGCATGGCCAAGTGTATGGGATGTTTATGACCTATCTCAGAAGTCACATAGTGTCACTTTTGCCATACTTTAATGGTCAAGGCAGTCACAAAGGTTCACCTAGTTCAAGGAAAAGCGACATAGACCCCATAACCCAATGGGAGGAGTGTCAAGGTCACTTTAGAAGAAGAACTTGTGGGACAAGGGACATTATTGTGACCATCTTTGGAAAATACAACCCCTCATTTTGCGGCAAGTACAAAGTCAATGAAGTCATGTGGATTCTTAGGGGCTGGCTAGAGGAAAAAGAAAAAGAAAAATCAAGGATTTTCCCACAGTTAAAGTATGAGTGGAAAAAAGAATAACCACGAAAGAGAAGGCTTAAGTCAGAGCTACTTTGTGAGAATAATTAATTCAAGAGATTTTCCAAGGTGAGAGGATCACTTGAGGCCAGGAGTTTAAGAACAACCTGGGCAACATAGTAAGACCCCCATCTCTAGAAAAAATTGAAAATTAAAAAAAAAAAATTCGAAGATATTCCCAGTAGCCCTGCCATTTGAGTCTGGAGAATATCTGAATGAGTTTACTGGCAGAGATAAAGGAGCCAAGAGGAAGACTAAAGATAGAAAATTGAGGAGAGAAAATTAATAGGACACAATTCTGGAGGAGATGGATGTCACCAAATAGTCAGGCAGACGTTTAACTTCACAAAGAGAAACTTTATTTCTCTACAATAAGACAAAATAAAAGGAGAAGATGGAAGAAATAGAGTATAATTCTGAGATAAAGAATACATTTTGAAGTAGAGAGAGGGGAAAATGGCAGATCTCAAACTGAATACCCTGTTTTCTCAGAGAAGTTAAAGGTAAGAAAATCTATTGATATTAAGATGAGATGTCTTAAAGTCCATAAGAAATAGAAATGACTAGGTAAGAAATTGAATAGGTGAGTCACATATTTCTTATTTTTAAAAGAAGTTGAAAGATTGGCAAAATGATGATTGTTGTTGATGCTGGTGATGGATACATGGGGATTTATTACACTGTTCTAACTAATATTGTGTATGTTTGAAATTTTCATAATAAAATGTTTTAAAATTGTAAAAAAAATCTATTGAGTAATGTACTGATTATCTCTGTTTTTAAAAAATGAAACTAATAACCTTGCATTTTGATGTATGGTTTATCAATAAAAATGTTTCCCTTAGGCCAATGGTTCTAAATGGAGAAAGGATTTTCTATTTGTCTCATACCTATTACTGTCTTAAATAAATGTTCAATCAATTCAAATGAACCCATAAAATCCTCTGTCTAGTGCTTTTTAAAATCCTTGTCACAAAGCTTGGTCAAGTTCCGAAATAATTTTGCTTATTTCCCCTGATGGTACATTATGGCTTCTTGCTGAAGTAAAGTGTCTTTTTATTTCCTTTTTTTATTATTATTACTTAAAACAAGTTGGCTGCAGATTGGATCGTACCCAGTCTTTTCCACAGTGATGCCCAAGTAAAGAATATCATTGGGCTTCTAATACTGCTAAATTTCTTCCTGGCATTGGGAAAATATTGAGCTGGCAAAATAAATAGCTCAAATCTCAGAAACTTATTAGACTGATATGGACTCCTGTATGCTTCATAGCCCTAATCATCAACTCATTTATATTCTTTGGAATTGAGAGAAACATATTAAGGAAGGATATTCTTGCCCTGTACGAAATTGTCACAGTCAGCTAGCAAGAAAGATTGAAGACTGAAAAAATATCTTTCAAGCAGCCTCTTGGTTTCTTGAAGCATATCAGTGATACCCAGAATTCATCAAGTTCATGGTTCCACATCTTGGACTGCAGAAAGTGACTAGGCAATGTGCCTGAATCTGACCTTTAATCAATATCTCCTTTTCTGCATTACATTAGGCATAATGAATTGTCAGAAACAGCATGTGGCTCAAACCAATGTTATTCCAAGAAAATAGCTAGTGGGTTTTAGAAATTAGATGGCAAGCAACTCAAAACCTTCAGATAATTTTTTGAGATACTCTATCTTAAAAGTAGAGCAGCCTAGCTTTCCAGCTTTAGCTCTTGCCAAACCATCCATGTGGTGGCCAGGCTCCTGTTCAGTTAAGAGGCATTAGAATGAATGAAGAACATAAGGAATACAGTGGATGGAAATCCTGAACAGGATAGAGGGAAAGAGAAAGAAGGCCAAGGACATTCATGACAGGGAGTACTCAAAAGCATGAACTCAAGGTATGAGGAACAGAAGACACCATACAGCCCTTGCTGAAGGTTCAATAATTTCTTTCACATCAGGACAGCAATGCACACATAGGAAACAGGAAATTGTTCAGCCAGACATACTTTACTGGGCAAAATAATGTCTAACTAACTTCACTCTCAGTGATCTTTGACAGTAATTTGAGGAAGGCAAAGGGAAAATTACCAATATCAAATGACAGTACTGTCTGACACCATTCCTCCTTTGGCTGACATTAATCATGAATTGCTTTCCATAAAGTAATTTTTATTTAACAGAGAAAGAAAGCATATGCCACCTTATCTTAGTGTCTTAGTAAACAGTCGTTCTGGGATTCATTTGCATGGAATATAAACTATGTATGGAGCCCTGAACCTGATTTTGATGTTGAAAAAAAGTATAAAGAAGTGTAATATGTGACAAATCAGGGGAAAAGAGAGAGATTGAGAGTGAGACTGATGTGGGGCTGATGGTGATTTTTTTTCTAACTCCCCCTGCTTCATCAGTGGCTATAAATTATCAGCCGAATATACATAGACACTCTTAATGGCCAAAAAGAGTCAGCTCACAGTTCTGCCCTTGTCAAATCATCCAGAAGAAAGCCGTGCCCGTGGATAGGCACAGCCATGTCACATAGCTCCTGTACTCTCAGGGCCTGTGTGACACTGAACCATAGCCTTGGAAATGGCAGCAAGGTCTACTTTGGTCCAGATCCAAGCCCTGGCAGAGACTAAATCTTACATTAAAAGAGTGGGAAGTTGGTGCAGATAGTATTGCAAGACCAGTCTTTAGATAATTAGCCATTGTTAACTCAGGAAAACCAATTCTAGGCATTGAACATGAAGCCATATCTTGAAAGGTAAGTATAAGTTTTTAAAAAATAGGGATGGGCGGGGTCTCACTACGTTGACCAGGCTGGTCTCAAACTCCTGGAATCAAGCAATCCTCCCATCTCAGCCTCCCAAAGTGCTGGGATCACAGGCATGTGCCACCATGCCCAGCTGCAAGTATAACTTTTGTGCCCGGGCCTCCCCGACTGTGAGAGGCAGAGTAATGCCCCACCCAGTCCTGGAAAGATGCCCATGACCTAACATTGAGAACCTGTGAATATGTGACCTTACATGGCAAAAGGAATTTTGTTGATGTTATTAAATAAAGGATGTTGAGATGGAGAGATTATCCTGGATTACCTGTGTATGCCCAATGTATTCACAAGGGTCCTTGTAAAAGCGACACAAGAGGAGTCATAGTCAGAGAGAAGGAGATGTGATGACAGAGGTAGAGGAACAGAGAGAGATGGGAAGATGCTGCTCTGCTGGCTTTAAAGACAGAGGAAGGAACCAATGACTAAGGAATGCAGATGGCCTGTAGAAGCTGGAAAAGGCAAGGAAATGGATCCTCCTTCAGAGCACCCAGAAGGAATGCAGCCCTGCAAACCCATTTTGGACTTCTGACCTTCAGAACTGTAAGATAATAAATTTGTGTTGCTTTAAGCCACTCAGTTTGTGATAATTTGTTACAGCAGAAATTGGAAACTAATATGCCAACAGCCTATGCAGACAAGATAAGTTCCATTTACTCCTGCTCCCCAAGTTAGAATGATTTAAGTCCCATCTCACTTATCAGTAGGAGTCCAGGCTTTGTTGTGAATCCTCTTCACAAACAAAGGGGAAGGCTTACTCCCACAATCTGCCTTGGTTGTTTCCTGCTGACTCAATCCCCTCCTGGTTCCAGGCCACTCCTTCCCTCCACCCTGCTGCTGGCTACACTTCCTCCGGGACTCACTTTGCATTCCTGCTTCATTCCCTTGTATTGCTTTGCCCAAAGCATGATCCTGCTCATCCTCCTTAATTACCAGACTGAAATGCAAGGCTGTTGCCTGCAGTAATAAAAAATAAGAAGAAAGTAATAATAGGTAATAAAAAAAGAAAAGAATAATGAGTAATAATAAAACTACAAATTGAAGAATTTACAACTGTCTTGGGTTGGGTTTCAGAATTCTTGTGCCTGTGGTTTATTAGGGGAGAATGCTCAGGAGAAGAGTAGTGAGGAGAGCAAGATGAGGCAGGGGAAGAAAGTGAGCGATCATGGGCTGTCACTGGGAGTTCAGTTTCAACCTGATCCTGCAGAGCACTCTGAAGTATACATTGCACCAGAGGAGAGTAGCATTTTGAAGGCAAGGAGGCCAACATTTTGTACTGCTGTGTTAGTCACTGACCACAGCCTCTGGGGGGATGGGATGACATGGCATCCCAGATGAGGAGACTTCTATTATGCCCAGGGCAATTCTCCAGAGAAAGGCAGCTATGAGCTGTTAACAGGCAACACTCATAGCAGCTAAGGGACATGGCCCCTTAAAGGGGATCTGGATGGTAATCAAGCACATCCATTACAGTGACCTAAAACAGAGCTCACAGCTAGTCCCTGAAGAGCACCTCTGCCCCTCTCCCTGGCCTCAGCACTGGTTGAAAGAGTTCACCGTATTCTTCACTCCGCCTCCCCCCTACCCCCACCGCCTGCCTTTCCCCTTTCCTTTCCCTTTTCCTTTCCCTTTTCCTTTCCCCTTTCCTTTCCCCTTTCCTTTCCCCTTTCCGCCTTTTTTCCACTGCATCAGTAAAAATGTCCTGGAGCTGTCTCTTCCCTGGAGTCAGAGGTGCCAGAAGACCTTTCTATTTCTCCCTTAAAGACATCACCCAAAGATTGGGTTTCAGTTTGAGGATTTTCCAAGATGATTGACGACCCCCATTCCCCAATCTTGGTGCTAAGATTCCCAAGAAGACATTGGAACACAATAGCCCAACATCAGTACATTTTTCCAAGTCTGACAAAAAATTGAGTAATATGCATGTATGGCACCAACAGTCCAATCTATATTGAACCAAGGTGATTAGCTGAGCTCAATTCCCACAACCTTTCACTCCTTGAGAAGGTGAAGATTAGTCCTCCCTTTCATTCCCGCCATCCACAAACACCTCCATGAGAACAAGTAATAACATGTAGGTATTGAAATCTATAAATCCCTTCTTAGGGAAGAAACATCACCCAGAAGTGTTATTCACATTGCAGGTGGCAACCCATTAGTGGTGCTGAGAAAAAAAATAATGAAAAAGAGTAGAATAGAATATATCAGAGTTCATTTCAAATAATAAATGTACATATTATTTCACAGAACAAACATTTGTTTCAGTTATATCTATCATACATGTATATTCAAATATTTGTATGTTTTGAGTCATGCTGTATTTCTTACTATTGGCAGGAGTCAAAAAAAGTTGAGAAAAACCCCACTGATTTAAACACTTTTGACTACATGGATAACTGCTTTCATATACATCCAGCACAGTTTGGTTACTTGATGTCACTGGAGGCTCAGAAATCTCTATGTTCTGCTGTAGATCTTTGCTTCATGTCTAGGAAAGGGAAAAACCTGTTTGGGTATTTGTTTTATCCAAAACAAATGAACCTTCAACCCCATTCTGTATTCCAAAGGCGAACTGAACTCTACTTATCTAAGAAGCCAGCCTAAAGCTTTGAAATTATAACACTATGAAATGAAGTGGGTAGAACTGTGTCCCCTAAAAAGATATGTGCAAATCCTAACCACCAGTACCTGTGAATGTGACCTTATTTGGAAATAGGGTCTTTGCAGGCGTAATCAAGTTAAAATGAGGTCACACTGGATTGGAGCAGGGACCGATATCCTTATAGTAAGAGGAAAATTTGGAAACAAGAGACACCCAGGGTGAATGCCATACGACAACAGAGGCAGAGATTGGAGTGATGCACCTACAAGCCAAAGAATGCTAAGGATTGCTGGCAATCACCAGAAATTGGGACGTGGCAGGGAATGCTTCTTCTCTAGAGCCTTGAGAGACAGCATGGCCCTGTGGATACCTTGATTTTGGACTTCTGGCCTCCGGAACTGTGGAGGGAGTAAATTTCTGTTGTTTTAAGCTATCTAGTTTGTTATAGCAGCCCTAGAAAACTAATCATGAATTTTCCTGCTTCTACCCTAACCACTGAATTTTCAAAAACCTTGGGAAATATTTATATGTACTTGCTTGAATATTCATAAAACATTTCTGAAAAATAAAATAATCAAGAAACTGAACATTGTTGCCTTTGGGAAATGGAACTGGGTACCTGCAGAATGAGAGAGGGAGACTTTTTGCTATAATACTACTTTGAATTTAAACTATGTAATGTATGAATAAATAAAATCGAAATTTAGAAAATCTTAGGCAAAAACTCAACCTACCTAGCAATCTCCCCTTTCTCCCCAGGGATCACCAGTGACGGATGTCCATCCCATTTTTGTAAGCAAGAAGGTAAAATTGTAAGAAGATGGATCTCCCATCTTTTACAGAGGGTCCATGGTTCACAGCCATTTCTCTTTTGCACCAAAAACTTGGGAAGGCAAAATGTCTGGTCTTATCCCGAAAATCTTTAATCATCTGCCCCTTTCATTCAAGCTATTTGCTTGAGGATAAAAATGCTCATGAGGAAAAAAAAATGCTGAAAGCTGAGATAATGATCCTATCCATGATATTCCTTAATTACTGACTTAAATGAAGATCCATTGTCATATTTCCTCATTAAAAGACATATTTTATGAGCAGATACTTCTCACGGATGATTTAAGAAGAACAAACTCATCAGATAGTTTGAGACTGAATCCGAAAAGGTATGCATAGTTAATTATGTAATATGAAGTGTTGGACGAAATGGGCCCAAGGGTCTTTCAACATCAAAGCCTCTGGTGGAGAGGCACACAATGTAACACAGGCTAGTCTGTAAAACACTCCTGTAAGACAACTCTACACAGTTTCAGTGTTCAATGTATATTTCATGAATTGAATTAGAGTAAAAGCATAAAATAAAGAGCTAGAAGAGACTTTGGAATGATCAGGTGTGCTTCCCTGTAATGCTTTTAAAACAGGCACAGGTGTCTCTGGGCTGGAATGCTGACTTCACTTTTGCCATGCTTTTTCTATGCCACACTTTTGTCATCTGAAAAATGGGAAAAATAAGAATATCTGCCTTTTAGGGTTGTTGAAGAAGTTAAACAAGGTGAAGTATAGGTAGTAGATGTAACTGGCACCCTGCCCAGATCCCATTTACCAGGCAAGGGCACCAGTCTCCTAGCTGCCTTCCTCTGCAGAATTGTCCTGGGCTGATGGTAGCCAGCTCCCCCAGGAAGTTACCCCACCCCATGGCCCACAGTCAATGACTGACTAATACAGGGGCACAAAGGAGACCCCTCCCTTCAAGGCAGGGATACCTCCAAGGTGTGGTTTGTAGTCCAGAGCCTCTCTCTGAAGAAGTGAAAACACTCCTTTGTTCAGCTTCCACCAGCCCTATCCTATCCTGCTTCCTCCCTCCTTTACAAGTTCTTTCTGCAATACATCCTAAACACCTGACTTCCTGTTCCAGGCTCTGCTTCAAAGGAGTCTGACCTAAGAGAGTAGGTAAAGAGCTTCAAAATTAAGAGTATAAACAGTGAACCCATTTTAATTATTACTTAATCAGTCAAATTTAGGGCAAGCACAAAATCAAAAAACCTTTGACATACTCTAATCCAACCCAGAAGGTTGACAGAGGTAAAGTGGAGATGCAAAACGTGAAAAGAAACAAAATTATTTTGGTGACTTATTCCCAAAGTAACAATGAGATGAGCCAGGAGCCAGAAAGAACTAGATTAGCCCCACTTAGACTTTTAAGCAAGAATAGAGATCCTGTGGTGTAAAGGCTACCAGAGACAAGGTCCCCTAGCCCAAAACCCTCCTTATCACAGAGACTAAGCACAGTCGCTGCTTATCCCTGAGTAACGGGTTTCAGCTCCCTGCCAGACTGCAGAACTATTCAAGTGAACCAATCACATCCTCCCACAGGAACCAGGGACCACCTCACCCTCTTGATACTACAAACCCTGCCTCCCACAGCACCTGGTTGTTCACTCTGTGAATAACTCATGTAGCCCTACATGACATGTGGTAGCTTCCTCCCCCAGACTGGGAGTATGTGTAACTGATAAACTGTTGTCCATCTCAGCTGTCCAGTGTTTGGTGTTGTGTGTTCAGTCATTCACTTAACCCTAGGGCAGGAATCCCATCATCACCAACAGGGTAAAGAGGGGACAATCAAACAGACTATTATTATTTTTTTAAAAGATCATTATTAGGCTGGGCGCGGTGACTCATGCCTGTAATCCCAGCACTTTGGGTGGCCAAGGCAGGTAGATCATGAGGTCAGGAGGTCGAGACAAGCCTGGCCAGCATGGTGAAACCCCATCTCCACTAAAAATACAAAAATTAGCCGGGCATGGTGTCATGTGCCTGTAATCCCAGCTACTCAGGAGGCTGAGGTAGAAGAATCGCTTGACCCCAGGAGGCGGAGGTTGCAGTGAGCCGAGATCGCACCACTGCACCCCAGCCTCAGCGACAGAGCGAGACTCATTCTGAAAAAAATAAATAAATAAATAAATAAATCATTATTACCAGGGCTTGTAAGAGTTCTTAAAATTTTTTAACTTTTCCTTTATTTCGTTAAACTTGCCTATTTTCACATATGGAACTGAGAAAAGCCAACTGTGTTTGTATGCACACGTGCATGCACGCGTGTGTGCATGAAAGAAACAAGATTAGTAAAGAAGCTGGAAGACTGTCTTTCTATGTAGCAGGCACAGGAGAAAAGCTCTGTATAAGAGTTAGGAGTGAATAAGGCAGGGTTCAGCTTGGACCAGAGAGAGAGAGAGGAATAAATCAACATCATGTTGCTGAGACAAAGGTGTGGCCTCGGTAGAAGCATCACTGCTTACCTTTAGACAAGGGTGCTTCCCATTGGAACAAAAAACAAAAATCAGTGGGAAAAGATCAGAGCTCAAAGGTGAAGGAAATGAAAGCACTTGCACAGAAATGAAAAATGAATAAAGAGCGAGTTAAATCTCATTATTCTTCAAGGAATCCTAACACTGTGATTCTTATTTATGCAGAATTTGAGGACCGAGATTGGGTTTCTCACTAGTTTTAGCTAAGGTCATCAAAAATTTTAGCTACCTTTTAAGCATACAGTTCCCTTGACCTTGGATACTCAGCATAGTTATGAGATCACTGGTGACAAGTTGAAGGAGGTGCCCATTTTTAGAGCCTTATAGGGGAAGCTTTTCTGATAATCACCAAATCCCTTCTGGGCTTTTAATTCAATTCAACTCCATCAATATACACTGAGCACCTATATTATGTGGTACATTATATACAGTGTTTCTGCACATGTGCACCTGTGGCATATGAGAAAACCTGCCCTTTGAACATGTACACAGTTGATTGATGTGCATCCCAAAATTTAAGAAATAATATGTGAAAAGATGCAAAGGAGAAAAGTTGAAGCACTATCATTAAATTGCAAGATCACATAGATTGAGTCACACTATTAATGGACCAACGAGAAGGGCAGAAGCAGTTGAAAAAGAATGATACCTCCTGGGAGGTAGGGATGCTAACCTGAACTTTGAGGATGAGTAGGATTGAAATAGACATAGAAGGCATTCCACACATCCACACACTGATGGAGATGAGCATTTGATTCAGTAAATGTTCATTAATTACTAACCAAATGACAAACCTCATATCAAGCACACAGTGGTTGCCATTTTAATTTGGCTGACTCCCTATCTGAGGGAGACATTTTTAACTACAAATGACAAAAAAATCCAATTTAAACTCATTCAGATAAAAACCACAACTGAGTGGCCCCATATTATTTCTTGGTAATTAAATAATGAAATTTGACCTTGCAGCTCATGCAGTGCCACCACAGACCTGGTTTCCACTGGTATCTTCTCAGCATTCCATGGTGTTGGCACCATGTGCTTTCATACTGGTCCCTTGACTGGCCCTTCATTGTAGCAAAATGGTAGCTCAGGTCCAAGCCTTACATCTTCACACCAACTCACTAGGACAAGAGATGTCTCTTTCTACAGCCCCTGTCTATCTTTCAGCCCCATCTTGAATCATGTTCTCACTTGCTCTTTGCACCCAGCTCCATTGGCCTATTTCAAGTTCATCAAATGTGCTATTCTTACCTTTCTCACAGCACACAGGTTTTCATGGTGCATTCTTCTTCCACTCTGCTGGTTAACACACTCATTATCTCAGCTCTTGAACTTCATGACCTAAGGCAAGCCTTCCTTGCCATTCTCACCTACCAGGCAAAGTCAGCCCCTGCTATATTCTCTCAAAACATAATGTAGTTCTCCTTCATGGCCATAAATTAACATAGCCATTCAATTAATATTTGTCTCTTCCAGAAGAAGATAAACCATGTCTTGTTTTGTTCATCATTATATCCTCAACATTAAGCAAGTGTCTGCATGGTGGGTATTCAATAAATATTTGTTGGTTGCATAGGTGGATGGATGGATGGATGAATGAATGGAGGAATAAATGGATGGATGGATGAACTTGACTTTTAAACCTTGCCATGTAACTAATTAGCTACCTCCAGCTTTTTTGTGATTCAGTTCTCTCAACTGTGAAATGAAAAGGTTGGACTAGTTGACCTGTAAGTTCCTTTCTGAACTGAAAGTGTCGAATTCGTAAAGTGTTACTGGCAAGAGAATTTCTTTAACTGCAATATTAGGGAAGTAAAGTAAAAAGTGATGTTTTGGATTACTCTGCTACCCTTTTGCAAATGTCATTTTTAATTACATTCCAACTTTGTGTGCTCTCATGCAGTAGTTAACAATCTGGAGAAATTGGGATGCTACAACTGTTACCAAGCAGCTGGAATTGCCGAAGAGCTAATACAAGTTAGAAAAATATATGCTGACAGTCTAGGAAGATGTTCAATGAAATGTTATGAAGAAAATTTTACACATGTTCCTGCCCCCAGCCCCCCATCCTACCCAACCCCAAACTGGCAATATTCAAAGTAAAGGCTTGATTTGGTTCAACATGCAGCTAAAAATAAAATTTACATCTTTGGGTGATGTTTAATACAGAGGATTATTATCATATTGAAATAGCTATTTTGAATTTACAAAACAGCCTTGTTGCATTCAAATTCATGGCAATTTGATTAGACCCTAAATATATTTTTATTCAAGGTCCTATTCATAGCCAAGGCTTGCCATCTATTTGTGCATTTAAAAAGAGAATACAATTCATGTTTTCACTTGACATGCCTATGAAACACAAGATAAAATTCCCTACCTGCTCCCTCATTCAACATCTGGATCTGAACTATAATCTGCCTATAAATAAATAAGAATTTTGATCAGGCAGCTTTGCAATCTGTTCAAAGTAGCCTGGGAATACTTGACAGTATAACAAATCTCTAAGTAAATTAAGTGATGTTAAGACAGTTTAACTACCATAAAATATTTTATTTTATTCCATGTCCACTTAAAAAATTGATACTTTTTAATGAAGTGATTCAGCCAGAGTATTGATAAAAAGAAAGCATTATATGGAACTGTCCTTGTAAAAAGAAACAACGCTTATTTAGGAAACCAAAGGCTCATTATTTCTCACATTTCCTCTTCTAAGTGGCTGGGGCAGAAACTGGCTAACTGTTCCCCAAACCCATTTCCACTTTCTCTTTGGCTCACAGTTAGACTACATTTCCCAACCTCCTATGTGACAGATTTCTGACTGGTAGAATATAGGCAGGAAGTGATGTATTCCACTTTGAAGCCTGGCCCATTAGAAACCGCCCATGTACACTATTCACAATAGCAAAGACTTGGAACCAACCCAAATGCCCATCAATAATAGACTGGATAAAGAAAATGTGGCACATGGAATACACCATGGAATATTATGCAGCCATAAAAAAGGATGAGCTCATGTCCTTTTTAGGGACATGGATGAAGCTGGAAACCATCATTCTCAGCAAACTATCACAAGGACAGAAAACCAAACACTGCGTGTTCTCACTCATAAGTGGGAGTTGAACATTGAGAACACATGGAGATAGGGAGGGGAACATCACACACTGGGGCCTGTCAGGGGGTGGGGGGCTAGGGGAGGGATAACATTAGGAGAAATACCTAATGTAGGTGGCGGGTTGACAGGTGCAGCAAACCACCATGGCACGTGTATACCTGTGTAACAAAACTGCACGTTCTGCACATGTACCCCAGAAATTAAAGTAGAATTAAAAAAAAAGAAAAGAAAAAACCGCCCATGTAATTCTCCATCCTCTTTCTTTCCACATGTTAAAGATGGCAAAGGTGGGTCTGCCTTGTTTCCTGAACACTGTGTAGGGTTGAGCCCCTCTCCACTTGCTCATATTCCTAACCACATTATGACCTAGCAGAAGAGAGACTACATTATCTAATCCCTCATTCTTCTTAGTATCTCAGGCACAACATACTACCAAACACTTCTACTAAAAATTGGCTGTAAAAGATTATTTCCTTTTCCCAGTTTTTCCTCATTTTAAAAAGAGATGAGAAAAGAAGAAGTAAAAGCCTAACATTCCATGACTTTTTTGCCCAAGAATCTGTCTATCCTTGTGTAACTTGGACCCAGAAAATAGATCAGCTTCAGGAATGGAGAAAATGTTTAGCTGCAATAGTCTTTTTACTTGCAGCCTTATTACTTACAACTGGCCGGGCGTGGTGGCTCACGCCTGTAATCCCAGCACTTTGGGAGGCAGGTGGATCACGAGGTCAGGAAATCCAGACCATCCTGGCTAACACGGTGAAACCCCGTCTCTACTAAAAATACAAAAAAATTAGCCGGGCGAGGTGGCGGGCGCCGGTAGTCCCAGCTACTCGGGAGGCTGAGGCAGGAGAATGACGTCAACCCGGGAGGCGGAGCTTGCAGTGAGCCGAGATCGCGCCGCTGCACTCCAGCCTGGGCGACAGAGCGAGACTCTGTCTTCAAAAAACCAAACAAACAAACAAACAAAAAAATTACAACAAACCCTGCTTCAAATGACTGTGTTAGTCCAGGTCCTTGTAGAAGCAGATGCTAATATAGGATTCATCATGTGATGATTTTACTGAGCAAAATGCCTGTGAGAGAAAATGGAAAGTGAAGCCAGGAGTGCTAAGGAGTCATTAGAGCACAATGCAACAAGCCCGACCCCGAGTGAAGAAGAGAGGGAAAGAAGGCTGGGTGGAGTGTCCCAGGGTGCCATGTAGTCTAACAAAGGTTTGGCAAGGCCATCAGAGAGTCCTCAAGCCAAAATCAGGCATCGGAGGAATCCCAGGTCCCTCCAAAACAAACCTGCCTTCGTGTCCCTGCCACATTCTTCCAACACTGGCTGGGAGCAGCCCTTGGGAGGCAAAGTCTCAGTTAAAACATGGAGATGAATTCCAGAGCCCAGCAGCTGAGGCCATCAGTCCATTTTGCTCCCCGCAGTTCTCCAAGACACATTCTCATAACCTCTACAGATTGTTTTTTTTAAAGGCGACATGCATTTGTTTATCTTATCTGTGCATCATTTTGTTTTAATAGCCAGTATGGAAACTTAGTCAGGATCTGAACAAACTAGTTTCAGTGATGGGTCTTGTCAAGAACCTCGTTTTTATCAGTCACCATCAGTCAATCACCTAATGCTCCTTATTGAACAGAGACTTCTTAAGTAGTCAGGATTTACATTCAGCTGCTAGTCATGGAGACTGGAAATTAAAATGGTTTAACCAAAATGGAGATTTACTCTCCTCTCATAGAAGTCTGTAGTTAAGCAGTGAAGTGATAGTATGATAGCTCTGTGGTATCATCCTGGACCCAGGCACCTCCTATATTTATATTCCTTCATTCTTAGAGTATGACTACCATCCTCAAGGATATCTCATGTTCCAAAATGGCTGCTGAGAATCTAGCCATCATGTCTGTATTCCAACCAGAATGAAGGATAAGGAGTGGAAAGCACCAAAAAAAAAAAATTGCTAGTTATGTGTCCCTTTAAAAAAAAAAAAGTTTCCTGGGAAGTCCCACTGTTTGCAGACGATTTAAGCACACAACTCTTTGGCAACACCTTGCTACACGGGAGGCTCAGAAGCGTATTATTTTAGCAGTGCATGAAACTACCCCAACTGTTTTCATAGAGGAAGGGGAGAATAAATACTGGACAGGTATTCTTTGTCACAGCCATTTTTTGGGCTTGTTTCTTAAAAAGTTTTAATTTTAAAAGACTTATGAGATTTTTTCCTGTGTTGCCAGATGAATGAATATTTATGAGAGCCATTCATCCAGTTTAATTGCTGTCCATAAATTTGCACATATTGTTTATTGGTTGCCTTATCCATATACCTACCCATTTTGTACTTTCTTTCCTCTGTGAGCAAAAGTAAATTTTCCTTTCCTTTTCTTTTTTTTTTTTTCCATTCTATTAGTACCCTTCTAGGCTATCTTCCCAGCCCACTAGCACCCTGCTCTTCGAACTGCTCTCCAAGCCAAGAGTGGTCTCTCACTGAGCGTTATATTTATAACTCCCTAATCCACTTCCCTAGCCCTCAAATATTGGGCCAGGGATAGAAAGTAACCCAAGCTGAGCAGAACCGTTTCTCTCTTCTGAGAATTTGGAACTGGGATCGAAATCACAAATCAGCCTCCACTGGTCATTTAAACAAAGGAGATGTAAATTCAGAAATGTTAGGAACAACTATCTTCTGCCATGTTTATGGAACTACTAAAAGAGCCAGTTTTTGGACAGAGGAGAGGGAAGCAGACATGACACAGCCCTTGTTTTGCTGTAGTTATGTGGATCAATGCTTTCCACAGATATTTTCCCAAATGCTGCATTCAATTAGGTGAACTGAAAGGACCATAAATAGGTGGTATAGCTAGTGTTAGGTGCTTTCCAAACTACCTTTATTATTATGACCTAACCAATACAATCCCGAACTTTTCCCTGTGTGATCTTTCTGTGTGATACACCAGAACCAGTATGAAATTTGGTGATTGTTGTATGTGTTCTCCAGCCTCCACCCAGTGCATATGTCTTTGAGTGGATATCTGTTACTTCCTGCCAATAGAGCCATCCGGCCTGCCATATGTTAAAACAGGTATTAAGAGATAAAGGTAGTGATAAGAGTTTGGGCAATTTTGGTTTGGCTCATTGAATTCAATTTGAGAAATTGAGCTCAATCGGAGTTCTACACTGGGCCAGGTCTGGAGACTGCACAGATGAATGAGACATGGACCCTGCCCAGGAACTTATAATTTGATATCATAAGTGACTCGCAAACTACAGTGTTATTTATGCACCACAAGCCATATCTAGCAAGAAAGAGCTAAGATTTCTCAGTTGGAAGATGACTCAATAGCATAGAGGCAGAAGGGAAGGGGGGGAAGCCATTGATTTCTTAGAATTTCTTAGAAGAAGAAACCCCATTCAAATTTTTTTTTACCTAGTTTTTATCTACTCCCCTATGTTTTCCTGCACTTGGTGTATAGAGATAGCACCACTGAGGAATGGATCAAAAAGAATGCCAAAGCAAGGGAAACAAGAAAAACATCTACACATAACTACTTGTGGGTGGTTTTTAAATCAAAACTCAGAATTATGCCAGGTTATGAAAGTCTATAAAAATTTTAATGCAGATACAAGAAAAGAGCAATACTACTTTTTTTTTAGTCTTCCCTTTTCACTCTGATATGCCTTGCTGTTAAAAAACAAAGAACAAGAAAACATTGCGTTCCCTGCCTTCTGGAACTGTTTACCAGCAGGACGTGAGAAATCATAGAAATTGCTGGAAAAAAGTGATAACAGTCAGTCATATCTTTTATAATGGACTATTAGATTGGTGTATTTGCATGTATCATTAAAATTTATTGCAAATTGTCTGATGGAATGACAATGCTACAGATAGAGTACGCCTAATACAATTAGAATGGAGACTGGCTTCTGGGGTAAAGTTACTACATATTTTCCTTGGAGGAATAAAAATGTATATCTTCTGCCATGAGAATACCAGTGAGAATAAAGTAGCTATTCTAAATGTTTATGTCCAATTTAATATTTTTCTATCATAACAAAATTCTTATGAATTTCACATTAGCCTATGATTTAAAGCTAGATATCTTCCAGAGTGATATTTTTTTAATACAGAACACAGAATACCCAAGATCAGAAACATTATCTTTTATTCTTTGATGGAAAAGGCAAATGTTTTAGGGGTAAGATTATCAAAGAAAGCCAATGCTACGTTGTACAAGGAATTATAGGAGCATTCACCCGAGCAATGCTTCTTCATGGCAGGTGTTAGTCAGAACTAGATATGAACTCCCAAGTGGGACAGGACAAGAGACATGCCCTCGTTTACAGATGCCCGGAGTTCCATCCCAACCTAGAGGTTGGTTTTCAAGAGAGTTTGTGGTGCCAGATTTAATTTTTATACTTCCTTTTCCCATAAGTACTTTAACTATTGGTCCAACACTCCCTATTCCCAATGGAAATCCTCCTCAGTGAATACTGTTCCCTTCTATTCCTTGAAATGAGGTAACTTCCCCTTCACTCCTTGCATTGTTGTCACAGTTCCCAAAGCATTTGACTTTCTCCAGGGAAACCATAAAACCATATGGAAATCAAATCCAATGTAATTCTGCATCCAGAAGGGAGTTTAGGGAATACCTCCCCAAGGCTGTAGTTTTACACTAATTTTTTAATGAAACCTAAGCATTTTGAAGACTTCATTTTTATTAGAATATTGACTTATATTAAATATTATGCATATATTCTATAAAACTATGTGATTAATAAAAAGAAGAGAGAGAGCTGGATAAAAACAAGTTGCTTTAACATGTATTAGAACAATAAGAATAATTCAAATCTGCTCCTGGCATCAGAAAAACTTTCTAGAATATTTTTCAGAGATGTATTTTGGTTATTTGAGATGTAATGATATGACAGGTTTTAGCTATAATAAAGTGGATCATTATAAATGGAGTATGGCTAACTCAGAGAATGCCAGAACCCCAGAAGAAAGAAAACATCCAAGAAAAATATATGCTTTGCTACAAACTCAGAAGCTTAAAAACAATTTTAAGTTATACTTGAAATGTCTATGGCATACTATATTACAAATGAGGAAATGGAGTGTAAAACAAAGTGAATTGCTGAATGGTCAACCAGTTTAAGTATATCAAATGGAATATTCACTGAACTGGTTACATAGTGTTACTTACTCTGGAGAGAGCTTTTGTGGAATACAAAAACTGAAAACAATCCTGAAGCATGTAAAGCTAGGTGGACCAATGCATTCTGCAGATATTCTCCCAAGTGTTGCATCCAAGTGGATGAACTGGAAGGATTGCAGATGTCATTGTAGATGATCTAGTGCCAGGTGCTTTTCAAACTACTCTGTTGGAATATTTTGCTTTTATTACAACACTGTCATCATTGTTATCACCATTGTTATTATTTTTATCATGAATTTTCAGTCATTATCCAAGAACAATGATTGATTCAACCCACTGAAATGTATTAGCTGAATTTAAACTTGAAAGATGCAGCCTGACTCATGAGAAGAGAATAATTATGGGAGACATGTTTTCATTGGAAAAATTCTGAGTTAGTAGCAAGAGCCCTGTTTGTTAAATTTCAGATACAGATAAACAATGAGTATGATTCAAGAATAATTGCAGGGTATCCACGGTTACAGAAAATCTTGTCAACACCCATTGTTCTATTTATACCTTGGGAGACATGTCACCAAATTTCTATAAATAGAGTATAAATTCATTCATTTCAATCCTAATCATGTGCACACCTCCAGTCTTCTCAGAAATAAAAGAAAAAAAAAACTGGACTCTAAAGTGAAATGGGGGAATATGTAATGCACTGGGTTTAATGGGCCAAATGTCTCAGGAAGAATCAACACAGCAAAGAAAAGTAAGTTTATAAGGTGGAAATGGGGCTTCCTAAGATATCTGGCAGGTGAGTGCTTGGGGAAAAGTGACCCTGAGAAGCTGAATAACCTTAAGCTACTTGTAGTTTCTCCTGAGCACCCATTCAGTTTTAGATACAAAACAAAATGAGGATTAGAAGATCTTGGGTTAATTGTAGCAGGAAAGAGGATTTTTTTTAAAGGAAGGCCATAAGGTCAAAAAGAATGAGAGAGTAGATGGCAGCAAATGAGAAATGGCCATAAAACTTTGAAAGCTGGGAAGCAGATGGCTAAGTGGCAGCTGATTTAGAAGAAAGCTAAAACCTAAGTTTCTGCAAGGATTCGGAGTCAGGTAGCAGTGGCAAGAAAAAGCCAGTTCAGGCTGCAAGATCTCAGGGATGCTCAGGAATTGGAGTCACCAGGTACCTCTGAAGGTTGAGTGGCAGAAAGCTTTAAAAACAAAAGCCGTAGCTGAGGGCAGGGGTGCTAAACTGAAAATGGAGGAATTTACTCGAAGTTATTACATCCCAAATAGTGATATCCTCCCAGCTCCTTCCCCAACTTGGCTCTGAGAACATCAACAGCCACTCATTTACTGTCCAGATAAGAGAATGATCCCTGAGAAAACACCTAAGATACTAACATATGGGGATCCCCAAAGAACATCCAGGTGCCCTCTTAATCGCCTTACAATGAGATCCACCAATTGACAAGCCCCATTTATGTATGCACTGTTTCCACTAAACTAAGCTTATATTGAGTCTTTACTAACAAATGTATTTATTGAGCCCTTGCTAAGTGTGAGGTGTGTGTTAAACACATTATATACATTTAATCCTCAAAATAAATCCATCGAATGTGTATTATTATCTCCAGTTGCAGATAAAGAAACAAAGCCTCAAGTAAATTAAATATGTTTTCAAGGTCACCTAGCCTGTAAGTAACAGAGTGGGAATTTGAACTATTTGAACCACAACACCTCATGGCCCCGCTCTGGAGTATCCACCAGCCTCCTTAACTATATCCTTAACTATATCTTTAAACTATATTCCTACTTACTTACAAAAAGAATGTGTAATGGGGGTCAATTTTATCTCTGACTCAAGTAAGAGTTGAATAAAATGTAGCGCTTCTAAAAAAAAAAAAGCATTGCTGTACATCTTCCATTTCCTTCTCAGATTTACTCTTTCCCCAGCTCCTCTCTGTTCAGTGTCCTGGGAAGTCGAATCCTATGGACGGCATTAATACTCCTACTTGAATTGGCTAATAGGTGGGATTGGAGTGAGAGAGAAGATTGATTTAGATCAGGTCATTAATGTGCCAGCTCCCTCCATGTGTTGGCAGCATAGGCTGTCTACAATTCTCCAATGCAGATTACGACACCCATTGGGTGGTCCACAAAGCTCTCTCTCCTCTTGTTCTCCAGACTTAATGGTGGTAACAGCTCCACTGTTCTACCCTCAGGTACTGCATTCTCCCTTACAGTTTCCCTACACTCTGCCCGCACCTTTGGAAACAGTCCTTTTATTAAATTCTCTTCAAACCACCTAATTTGAATGTGTCATGTACCTCCTCCCAGGACCCTGATTGATTCAGAGCTTTAGATACATCTTAATCTGGGTTGACTAGGAAGTAGATGACAATAATATATTTTTAACTAATAACATGCAACATCTCTCTTTACTATAAATCTCTGGAATCATATGGTTTTGAAGGGTTTTTTTCTAGTTATATACTCATTATAGAAAAATTGGAAAACAAAGAAATTTATCACTGTAATTCCACAGGCTTCAGTCAATTGATATTAATACTTTGGTGAAAAAAAAGAAAGAAAAAAAAATACAACAGCCAGCCACAGTGCACGCCTGTAATTCCAGCAGTTTGAGAGGATGAGGCAGATGTATCACTTGAGCCCAGAAGTTTGAGACCAGCCTGGGCAGCATGGCAAAACCCTGTCTCTACAAAAAATACAAAAATTAGCTGGGTGTGGTGGCATGTGCCTTTAGTCCCAGCTACTCAGGAAGCTGAGGTGGGGGAATCTATTGAGCCCGGGAGGTGGAAGCTGCAGTGAGCTATGACCATGCCACTGCACTCCAGCCTGGGTGACAGAAGAAAAACACACACACACACAGCAGAGTAATAATTTGGAACTTCCTCAAACAGATATTCTGTAGATGATGTTCAGTGTTTCTAGAGAGAAGAGTAGGGGTAGTGTAGGGGAACAACAGAGTCTAAGGGTGCTTGGTACTCCCAGCCTCTCTTAACGTTCCCAGTAAAGCAACACCACCCTAAAATCCCACACTTCACTCAGCTGTACTTTGAGTTCACGCCTTCCTCACCTCCAACCAACTTTGCAAAGTATTCCTTCCAACCATGTGCAGTGCTGTGTGTGAAAAAAATTCTGTAAGCGCAGTTTTCTCCATCTTGGCAACATTGCCAATGATGTTTTAGGCCTCCAAAGAGTTTTTACCCACTCTGCTTTTTAACCATTGGTAACCTGGACTAATGTCCATGCCTTTTTTCCACTGTGGCACCAAACTAAGCATGGTACCTGGAGATCATTTCAACATTGTCAGCAGCGGTGAAGCCAAACAAAAACACAATATGCAATTTTCCAGTTATCCTGTAAAAATTTCAGCTTATCTTGTTTTAGTCACCTTCACCAAAGTCTCCACGTGAAGTGTTCACAAAGAGATGTTAATCTTGATCCATAGCTGGAACAAGGGGGAAAAATCAAATACGTGTTTATGCAATAAATACTTTAACTTGAATGGATGGAATGGGCTACAGATTAACAAGCCTCATTGACAGCGTTATTCACTCTTCTCCCTGTGAGGTGGAAAAACAAACAACTTGTATAACTGGGGAGTCAAACGCTTACAGCTGTTTGACTTCATACTGTTATTGCTAAAAGCACAGGAGCAATGGTGACATCTTGTGTCAGGTTAAAACGTAACAGGATCTTAATTCCTTGTGGTATCTACTAAGAGCCCCTCGGATGTGCCCTGGCTAAAATTCATCTTCATCTGCTCCTTTTAGCTATTGATAAAATAATAACACAGAGGTTTTCTCAGATGTAGAGATTAATCAATTTGCAGGAATGACAGGGAAAACTCTACTTGGCACCTGACTCATCAAACTGCCACCTCAAGTACAGGCCACCTAGGAGTCTCAGTCTAGTTCTTCAGCTCAGCCTTTCCACTTTGCCAGAATATCCCTGGCAAAATACACAGGCTCCAGGTTCATCCACTTATCAATCTGAAGCAGCCAGAGGGTAGCTGTGGAGCTCTAGTAATTGTACTTATTTATCCTACTGTTTTGAGCATTTCCCTGATCTTATTTCTTTGGCAGCACTTTGAACATCACATCACATGACTGGAACCTCTTGAGCCCAAAAGATGATGAATAAAATTCACTGCTTGTAGTAGTCGGCTGGGAGGCCAAATCTGTTTCATGTGCTCTCCATGAGAGCAGTGGTTCTTAATGTTGGCCACACAAAACCACCTGGGGAGCAATATCTGCATCCATCCCAGACCAATGAAGTCAGAATTTCTGGGGTTGGAAGCCAGACATTTTTTAAAAGCCCCCAGGTGGTCCTGGCATGCAGCTTTCACCCAGCTCTCTTGCCTTGGAAACCCAGCCACCGTGCTCTGAGGAAGCTCAAGCCACATGGAAAGGCATGAGTGGGAGATCCAGTCACTGTCCCAGCTCAGATCCCAGCCGACACCCAGAATCAACCGCCAGTTAACTGAGTGAGTGGGCCTTTGAATGATTCAAGCCCCAGCCTTCCAGCCACCCCAGCTGACGTGAAGCAGAGCAAAGACAAACTGTCCCCACTGACCCTGGCCCAAATGGCAGATTTATGAGCAAAATTAATGTTTTAAGCCACGAGGTGGTGGTCTGTTACACAGCAACAGATAACTGGAACAATTTATTCCCATTTTTAGATGAGGAAATGAAGGCAGCAAGGGTGGGGGAAATAACTTGCCCAAGTCCAGGCAGACGGTAACTGGCAGGGTCAGAATAGTCTTGTTCCAGGGCCCAGGCTCCACCACTCAGATTCTTCCCCTGGCTCAGCCCCCAACTGAGAGCAGGGGACTGTAAAACCTGAAACTGTGTAGGACTCTGCAAATAAAGAGCTCTGCTCAGCACCCTCAAACTCAGAGCAACGCAAGAGCAAGAGGAGACCAAAGACCTCCCTCTACCACAGACCACCCTGCTGCTCCAGGACCTTACAGGTCCAGTTGTTTAAAATGCACAGTGAATATGACAGCACCCAGCAGGAATGACAGTTCCTGAGGAACTCCTGGAATCTCTCAAGAGGCCCTTTACAGTGACCTGACGTCCCAGACATGGGTGGGAAGAATAGCCAATGGTATGTGCATTGGTTTTGTTCTTCTAACTCTATTTGTATAAGCAGAATGGAAAAGCCTGGAGAAACACAGCTGGCACATACATTATTTCTTTGTCAACATTGTCCATGTAATTAAGATAACCTTGTTACTTAGTTTTATAGCCTGTTTTATTTTTCACTTAAAATCCCTAGTAACCATTAACCTATTTCACCAATAGTTTTTGAAAAAAAATATTTTAATGGCTTATTTTATAAACTGGAAGTACCATGATTAATTTTAACCTCACTCCTATTGGACATTCAGGTTGTCTCCATTTTTTTTCATATCATAAATGATGCCATGATGTGCATCCTTGTGTCAAAAGATATAGACTTTGATGCAAATCTCTGATTTTTTTCTTAAAAACAACAACAGGCTGGATGTGGGGTCTCACACCTGTAATCCCAACACTTTGGGAGGCCAAGGTGGGAGGATCGCTTGAGCCCAGGAGGTCAAGGCTGCAGTGAGCCATGATGGCACCACTGCACCCCAGCCTGGACGAGAAAGTGAGACCCTGTCTCAAAACAACAACAACAACAACTTCTTAGAACTACTGTGTCAGGGAAAATCCTGTTTAAAGAATATTGATTAAAAATTATAGTATTTAATTTTCCCATGTTAATAATTTGCATTTAATAAATAAAAATTATTTCTTTATTTATTCTAAATGTATTGCCAAATAGCTTTCTAGGAAGGTAAGTCTTTCCTCAAAATAGTTCTCTATTCTTGCCATTTTCAATTCCTCTCCTCTCATTCTCCCTTACATCCACTTCACTTATGCCCTTGACCCCCTCATTCCACTGACCCCACTCTCTACAGTGCACTAGTGATCTTTACATTGCTGAATCTATGGCCAAATCTCCTCTTCCCGTGAGCAAACAGCAGCATTTGGCACAACCCATAAACTCTTCTCCCTGCTACATGGTCTTCACTCGGTTTCCAGAACCCTACCCTCTATTGGTTTTCCCATCTCACTGGTTGGATCTTCTCAGTGCTCTTTGGATGGTTCCTCTTCGTTCCCTGGAATCAATGCTGGCTGTCTCTTCTTCTCTGTCACACCCTGAATGATCTCATTCTGTCTCAAAGCTTTAAATTCTACCTACATGCTCTTAACTCCCTCCCAATTATATATCCAGCTCAGACTTCTCTCCAGACTCCAGGCTCTTACTTTCAACAATTCCATGCAACAGACATCTCAAATTAACATTCCCAAATCTTTTTCCCCCTAACCTTCTCTATCAGCAGTCTACCCTATCTCAGGGAATGATAACACCTGGCTTCCAATTGCTCAGGCAAAAAATCTTGACACTTTCTCAAGTCCTCTCGTCTTCTGTCACCCCATATCCAATCATCAAGAAACCCTGATAGCTTTATCTTCAAAATATATCCAGAATCTGAACTTTCACCACTTCACTGGTACCGTCCTGGTGCAAGCACCTTACCTCCTGCCTGAATAACTATAATAGCCCCCCAGCATGTCTTCCCGCCTACACCTGTCCCTGCCACACATACACACTAGCAGCAAGAGGCATAGACCCTTCTATGACCTAAGATTATGTTGCTTTCTCTGCTCAAAATTCTCCAATGGCTCCCCTTTTCCTCCCACATCCAGTGCCCCTTATCCTGTTGCATGGTTTTGTTTGGTTTTGTTTTTCTACTGCTAGTATCACTGTTTTTTTTTTTTTTTTTTTTTTTGGAGACAAGAAGACAAGCTTTTGCTAGATTGCCTAGGCTGCTGGCCTTGAACTCCTGGGTTCAAGCGATCCTCCCAGCTCAGCCTCCTGAATAGCTGGGACTACAGACATGCACACTACCATGTCCCAGCCTAGTTTCACTTCTTAACACATTATATTGTGTCTTCTGTTTATTGTCTGTCTTTCCCCACCAGAATATAACCTCCAGGTGGGCAGGAATCTCTGTCTGCTTTCTTCCCTCCTGTATCTCAAGAACCTAGAAGAGTGCCTGACATAATAAAGGCAGTCACTGTATGTTTGCTGAATGAATGAATGAATGCTATTACTCTTCACCTTGAAACCTCTGTGACCTTTTTGGAAGGATACCATAACTCTATTCATATACCCCCTACAGAAAGGGCATGTAGACAAGGTTTGTCTGCCGGGCCTTCCCTTCTTCATGTAGGGTGTACTATCCTGTAGTTTCCCTTCAGGTTGCTCAGGGCCCCTCCACTCAAACCTCCCTTCTTTCACAGTGGTCTGGGCTTTGAGATTAAGCCTTCCTCCTTTTCTGCTCCCATTCAGCCAGTCTCCTTCCTTCTTCCCATGAATATCAGCAAGCTATCAGCAGAAAAGCTTTAGGTTAACCTAATTCCATTTTTAAAAGGTCTTTGTGATGTCCTGTTCCCTTCTTCATGTCCCCTCCATGAGAATCAAGGTTGAGAGACAAGCCTTAGCATTAGCCACATTCACCTTATCCATTAGCCCTTTAGCATCACAACTTTACTCCCAGGTGACTTCAGCACCACTCTGCATTGGATAGATCATCCAGACAGAAAATCAATAAAGAAACGGCAGACTTGAACAACACTATAGACCAAATGGACCTGACAGACATAGACAGAACATCCTATCCAACAGCAGCAGAATACACAATCTTCTCCAGCACACATGGAATATTCTCCAGAAGAGATTATATATTGGGCCACAAAAGAAGTCTCAATAAGTTTAAAAAGGTCAAAATCATGTCAAATATCTTTTCAACCACAATGGTATGAAACTAGAAATCAATGGCTGGAAGAAAACTGAAAAATTTGCAAATAAGGAGAAATTAAACAACACATTCCCGAACAACCAATGGGTCAGAGAAGAAATCAGAAGGCAAATCAAAAAATATCTTGACACAAACAAAAATGGAAATACAACATACAAATTTATGGGATGCAGCAAAAACAGTTCTAAGTTTATAGTGATCAACATCTACATAAGAAAAAAGAAAACAAAAAACAAAAAAAAACACCAGGCACGGTGGCTCATGCCTGCAATCCCAGCACTTTGGGAGGCCGAGATGGGCAGATCACGAGGTCAGGAGATCGAGACCATCCTGGCTAACAGAGTGAAACCCCGTCTCTACTAAAAATACAAAAAAAAATTAGCCAGGCGTGGTGGTGGGTGCCTGTAGTCCCAGCTACTCGGGAGGCTGAGGCAGGAAAATGGCGTGAACCCGGGAAGTGGAGCTTGCAGTGAGCCGAGATTGTGCCACTGCACTCCAGCCTGGGTGACAGAGCGAGACTCCAACTCAAAAAAAAAAAAAGAAAGAAAGAAAAAGAAAAAAGAAAGATTTCCAAAATAAGAAGAAAAAGATCACCTCAAGGAATGTTTTTTAAAAAATAAATAAATAAATAAAAAAGAACAAACTAAGCCCAAAGTCAGCAGAAGGAAAGAAATACAAGCATACCTCAGAGATATTGAGGGTTTGATTTCAGACCACTGTAATAAAGCAAATATCACAATAAAGCAAGTCACAGGAATGTTTTGGTTTTCCAGTGCATATAAAAGTTACATTCATACTATACTATAGTCTATTAAGTGTACAATGGCATTATGTCTAAAAATAAGTACATACCTTAATATAAAATACTTTATTGCTAAAAATGCAATCATCTGAGCCTCCAGCGAGTTATAATATTTTTGCTGGTGGAAGGTCTTGCCTCCACATTGATGGCTGCTGACTGATCAGGATGGTGGTTGCTGAAGGTAGAGATGGCTGTGATAATTTCTTAAAATAAGACAACAATGAACTTTGCCATATTGATTGACTCTTCCTTTCACAAAATATTTCTCTGTAGCCTGTGATGCTGTTTGATAGCATTTTACCCACAGTAGAACTTCTTTCACAACTGGAGTCAATCCTCTCAAACCCTGCCACTGCCTTATCATCTAAGAATATGGAATATTCTATATCTTTTATTGTCATTTCAACAATGCACACAGTGCCTTCACCAGGAGTAGATTCTATCTCAAGAAACCACTTGCTTTGCTAATCCATAAGAAGCAACTCCTCATTCAAGCTTTGTCATGAGATTGTAGCAATTCAGTCATATCTTCAGACTCCACTTCTAATTCTAGCTTTTTGTTGTTGTTGTTGTTTTGTTTTTTTTGATATTTTTACCACATCTGCAAATACTTCTTCCACTGAAATCTTGAACCCTCAAAGTCATCTATAAGGATTGGAATCAACTTCTTCCAATTCCTGTTAATGTTGATATTTTGACCTTCTCCCATGAATCACAAATGTTCTTAATGGCATCTAGAATGATGAATCCTTTCCAGAAGATTTTCAATTGACTTTGCCCAGATCCATCGGAGGACTCACTATCTATGGCAGCTATAGCCTTATGAAATGTATTTCTTAAATAATAAGGCTTGAAAGTCAAAATGACTCCTTGATCCATGGGCTGCAGAATGGATGTTGTATTAGCAGGCATGAAAACAACATCTCTATCAGAGCTGTGCATCTCTATCAGAACTTTTGGGTGATCAGGTACATTGTAAATGGGAAGTAATATTTTGAAAGGATTTTTTTTTTCTGAGCAGTAAGTCTCAACAGTGGGTTTAAAATATTCAGTAAATCATGTCAAAAACAGATTGTGAGTAAGGAGATTGAATCAGTAATCAAAAGCAAAGAAAAGCCCAGTGTGGTACGGGCATAGACCAGTGGAAAAGAATAGAAAGCCCAGAAATAAACTCACGGATATATGGTCAACTAATCTTGGACAAAAGTGCCGAGAATACACAATGGGGGAAAATAGTCTCTTCAATCAGTGGTGCTGGGAAAACTGGATACCCACATGCAAAAGAATAAGATTGGACCCTCATCTTATACCATACACAAAAATCAACTCAAAATGATTAAAGACTTAAATGCAAGACCTAAAACCATAAAGCTTCTAGAAGAAAACATGGATAAAAAGCTCCTTGACACTGATCTTGGCAGCAATTTTTTGGATATGACACAAAAAGCACAGGAAACAAAAGCAAAAATAAACAAGTTGGGACTATATCAAACTAAAAAGGTTCTTCACAGCAAAGAAATAATCATGAAAATGAAAAGGCAACCTATGGAATAGGAGAAAATATTAGCAAGCCACATATTTGATAAGGGGTTAATATCTAAAATATATAAGGAACTCTTAAAATTCAATAGCAAAAAATAGAACCCAATTTAAAAATGGGTAGAGGATCTAAATAGATATTTTTCCAAAGAAGACACGCAAATGGCCAACAGGTATATGAAAAAGTGCTCAACATCACTAATCAGGAAAATGCATATCAAAACCACAATGAGATGTCACCCATACCTGTTAGGATGGTTTTTATTTTTAAAAAAATGGATAACAAATGCTGGTGAGAATGTGGAGAAAAGGAAATGCTGGCACATTGTTGGTGGGAAGTTAAATTGGTACACCTATTATGGAAAATAGTATGAAGACAGAATCCTCAAAAAATTAAAAATAGAACTGCCGTATGACCTAGCAATCCCACTTCTGGGTATTTATCCAAAAAAATTGAAATCAGGATCTCAAAGAGATACCTGTACTCCTATGTTCCTTACAGCATTATTCATAAAAAGCCAAGATATGGAATTAACCTAACTGTCCATTAGTAGATGAATGGATAAAGAAAATGTGGCATACACATTCAATAGAACATTATTCAGCCTTTAAAAAGAAGAAAACCCTGCATTTGCCACAAGATGGATGGACCTGGAGAGTATTATGCTAAGTGAAATAAGCCAGACACAGAAAGACAAATACTGTATGATCTTACTTATATGTGGAATATAAAGTAGTCAAACTCATAAACTCATAGAAGCAGAGAATGGTGATTACCAGGAGCTGGGAGGACAGGGATATGTGGAGATGTTGGACGAGGGGTACAAAGTTTCAGTTGTGCAAGATGAATAAGTTCTGGAGATCTAATGTATAGCATGGTGACTATAGGTAACAATACTGTATTGTACACTTAAAATTTGCTAGCAGGGTAGATCCGGAGTGTTCTCACCACACACACACACACACACACACACACACACACACACACGGAACTATGCGAGGTAGTATGTATGTTAATTATCTTGATTGTGGTAATCATTTCACAATGTATACGTATATCAAATTATCAAGTTGTATACATTAAGTATATATAATTTTAAACTGTTATTCCTAGGAATATTTGCATTTCAAAAATAAATGCTCCAAAAGGGAAATGCTTACTTGTTAACAAACTCTCATGATATTCCAAGCCTCAGTTATTCAAGATTTGGAACAGAACAAGAATATGATTTTAACAATAAGAAAAGATAAAAAGAGGTAACCCTTTTACTTATTCATTCATTTATTAAATATTTATTGAGCAAGTACTATGTGCAGACACTGGGCTAGGCATTGGGGCTAGAGCAGAAAACAAGACAGACAGGATCACAATTCTTATGAGCTCTGGTTCAATATCTGGGTTTAAATGCTTTATGTGATGTGATAGCCTTAACATGAATTCGCATTAATTAACTTAAATTTCTATCCAATAGAATCCAGCATGCTCTCCTTAATTTTTATACACTGATCATTTATTTTTCTTTCTTTCCAGAACACAGATTTGGGCCCGGAACACAGATTAGTGAGGTCTTTTGTTCACTGGATGGTAATATAATGTCTTGATTTTCTTTAGGATATCAGATTTTTCTTCCAAAACCTATCTTATGGGTTTTTTTTTTTTTTTTTTTTTTGAGACAGAGTCTATCTCTGTTGCCCAGGCTGGAGTGCAGTGGCGTGATCTCAGCTCACTGCAACCTGCGCCTCCCGGGTTCAAGCAATTCTCCTGTGTCAGCCTCCCAATTAGCTGAGACTACAGGTGCACACCGCCATGCCCGGCTAATTTTTTGGATTTTTAGTAGAGACGGAGTTTCATTGTGTTAGCCAGGATGGTCTCGATCTCCTGACCTCGTGTCCGCCTGCCTCGGCCTCCCAAAGAGCTGGGATTTACAGGCGTGAGCCACCGCGCCTGGCCAGATTTCCACTAATCTGTGTTCTGGGTCAGGGAGGAAGTATAACTTCTCCTCAACCCTCATAAGTTCATAGTTAGGACTGACCCCTGTAACAAAAGACAGATTAACAACAGAAAAACAAGCAATTTTATTAACCATGCAGTGCACATCACATAAAAGAAATCTCAGTGACAGGTAACTCAAAGCAGTGGCTTAGAACTCTGGTTTATATAGCATCTTTAACAAAGAACCATGAATTTTAGGGAAGTAACACACAAAGAAAAGCAGTTTTAGGCTTCCAAAGGTGGGAAACCATGGAAAGGTCAATACATGGGAGTAACCTAATGGAGCAAGTTTTGTTAGTAGATTCCTCTGGTGCCATCTCTGAGCTGATAAGAGTTGTCTCCAGTAAAGGAGAATTTATGTCCTCTCTTTAGGCAAAAAGTGAAGGGGTGGGGAATAGAAAGAGCTCTTCCTCTGATTGCTGATTCTTATTTGCCTTTAGCTCAAAAATATTTATGTCAAAGAGGCATATTTTGAGGTGACACATTCTGGTTTCCTTCACAGCCAAACAGAAAGTACAAAGAAATTTTATGCTATTATCTCAGCATGAAAGAACTGACGGGGGTGGGGGGTCGGGGGGACGGGGTTGTTTGTTTGGTTGGTTGGTTTTTTTTTTTTTTTAAACAGAGTCTCGCTCTGTCGCCCAGGCTGGAGTGCAGACAATCTCGGCTCACTGCAACATCCACCTCCCGGCTTCAAGAGATTCTCCTGCGTCAGCCTCCAGAGTAGCTGGGATTACAGGCGCCCACCACCACGCCCAGCTAACTTTTGTATTTTTAGTGGAGATGGGGTTTCACCATGTTGGCCAGGCTGGTCTGAAACTCCTGACCTCTGGTAATCCACCTGCTTCCACCTCCCAAAGTGCTGGGATTACAGGCATGAGCCACGGCGACCAGCCGAAAGAACTGTTAAAAACAACCCACAAGATGAGGGGATGAGGGTGACTCTTTGTAAAGAGTCTCTTCATTAAAACCCCTCCTCATAGCAAAAAAAAAAAAGAAAGAAAAAGAAAAAAAAAACCCACAAAAGGCTGGGCGCGGTGGCTCACGCCTGTAATCCCAACTCTTTGGGAGGCCGAGGCAGGCGGACACGAGGTCAGGAGATCGAGACCATCCTGGCTAACACAATGAAACTCCGTCTCTACTAAAAATCCAAAAAATTAGCCGGGCATGGCGGTGTGCACCTGTAGTCTCAGCTAATTGGGAGGCTGAGGCAGGAGAATTGCTTGAACCCGGGAGGCGCAGGTTGCAGTGAGCTGAGATCAGGCCACTGCACTCCAGCCTGGGCAACAGAGCTAGACTCTGTCTCAAAAAAAAAAAAAAAAAAAAAAAAAAAAAACCCATAAGATAGGTTTTGGAAGAAAAATCTGATATCCTGAAGAAAATCAAGACATTATATTACCATCCAGTGAACAAAAGACCTCACTAATCTGTGTTCTGGGCCAGACCCATCCATGGAAATGTCAGAAATTGAACAAGCCAGAACTGATCTCTTTTTATTCCACCTGAGTCGGTTTTAGGGTAGGATCATGAGTTCCACTGGTCAGGCTGTGAGCCCCCTCTGTTCCTTATTTTATAATGTGATGACTGGACCTTTCACACATCTTCCCTGATATAATTAGTGTGCCATCCTTAGAGGAAGACATTGCTATCTCCATTTTGCAGATGAGAAAATGAGGTTTAGAATAAAGTAATTTGCACAACACTTCCCCTAGCACCAGTGCTGATGCCAGCATTTTAAAACCCAAATCTTCCTGCTTCCGGAGCTTACATTATTTTCTCTATAACACACTGCCTCTTGGGTCATAAATTTATGAGATCATAATAAATATCTTTCAAATTCTGGTATCAGAATGGAAGGCACTCTTCTTTGTTTGGACAAGAAGAATCAAGAGAGGACTTAACTCATTCTTGGAGTTGACAGCAGTGAAAATAACAGCAGTGATAACAGAGCATGGGCAAATCATTTATTTTTTTCCTGCATCTAAGTTTCTTTAGGTGATGAATCGCAATGATGAAATGAGAAAAAGAGCAAAGGGACACTAGAAAAATTAACCTAGTGTTTATGACAATTCGACAAAGGAATAATAAAAATTCTTATAATTCTTTTTTGTTTTTAGAGATGGGGTCTTGCCATATTGCGCAGGCTGGAGTGCAATGGCTATTCACAGGAACAATCATAGTGCACTACATCCTTGAACTCCTGGTCTCAAATGGTCCTCCTGCCTCAGCTTCCTGAGTAGCTGAGACTGCAGGCATGTGCCACCGTGACCAGCTCTCTTATTAATATATGTCTCATCTACATTAGCAAGACTATTATGCAAACACCCAGAAACAATAAACAACCAAAATATTTATAGACAGTGGTATGGATAAATGAATTGTGTACATTCACCAAATGAAATGTAAGGGCACTAGTTGTGGTGTTTTGTTTGTTTGTTTGTTTGTTTTTTGAGACAGAGTTTCACTCTTGTTGCCCAGGATGGAGTGCAGTGGCGTGATATGGGCTCACTGCAACCTCCACCCCCCGGGTTCAAGCGATTCTCCTGCCTCAGCCTCCCAAGTAGCTGGGATTACAGGCGTCTGCCACCAAGCCCAGCTAATTTTTTGTATTTTTAGTAGAGACGGGGTTTCACCATGTTGGCCAGGCTGGTCTCAAACTCCTGACCTCACCCACCTTGGCCTCCCAAATTGCTGGGATTACAGGCGTGAGCCACCGTGCCTGGCCAAAGGCACTAGTAAAAAGAAATGAATACCAACTACAAACGATGATACGGATGAACTGATAAATGTTAGAAACTTGAAGGAAAAAAACACTACATACATTATTATGACATTTGCATAAAGCTCAAAAACAAGCAAAACTAAACAAATTGTTCAGAAATGCATCTGGTAAGAGTAATTTTTTTTTGTTTTTGTGTACACATTTAGTCTTTTGTAACAAAAGCAACTTGTACACGTTTAACATTTAAAACTGAGCATCATCTTTCCTTTCCAGTAAATCAAAATTTAAAAATAAACACGGACAAAATTACAATAGAGCATGCCAATTCCAAATGAGATCCTACAGGTTCTGCTGATTCTTCTAGCAAGTGGCAGGGCTCAAGTCATCAGTAGGAGAGAATTCATTTTTAGTGTCATCTTAAACTGCAAGGATGCCTGGTAAACATCAAAATTATTTTTCACCAAACTGATGCTTAAAAAAAAAAACCACAATTAAACATACCAAAGGAGAAACCATGTTGTCAAAATGCCCACTTCACCCATCCAAACATCTCAAACCTAACCTTTACTGACTTCCTAGAACCCCATTTTAAAAAATTCTTTTTTATGTTTTTAAACAAGAGAAAGTAGACGGATGCATGTTGGTAAATGCTAATTGTCCTTATTCACAAAGAGACACAGTGTTCTTTCTGAGAAGGAAAAAAGCTAGAATTCTATGCTCTACCACACAGGGGCCTAACACCCTTCTGCTTCCAGCAGAGCAAAGGAAGCAGATTTTTCTTTTTTCCCGCAGAGCTCAGTGGTGTTGATTCCATACAGTTTTCGTTGAGACAGAAAGGGATAAAAATGAATTGAAACAGAAAGGGGTAGAGACTCTTTTCCCATTGTATATTGCTCAAGGTGCCTCTTCTTCCTCTTCCCCAAGCAGTGCAGACACTTACAGATGTGAAATTACTTTTGCAAAATTATGAGAGTAAGATAAATCTGACATAGTTGACTCCATCTTGCTTCTAACCTCCAAGCTGTCCTTTGTCATTCCTGGGTATAGGCTAAGCTAATTTGAGGAATAATTTAGTTTAGAGTTTAACCAAAGCAAGGATGATAATAGCCCTTCCCAAAACTAAACCACCACCACCTTTGTAAAATGAATCAAAGCCCACAAGTTTAGGATTATGAGAGGGGCCAAAATTCTGTTAAATTGTAAGCATAAACAACTGTTCCAGGGTTCACAAGATTTGTAACTTCCCTAATTACTTCTGTAGGTAACATCCTTACTGTAGAACCTAAGGTTGGCCTTTCGAGATATTTTTTCAGACTTCTGCATTTCTGATGATGGGATGACTCTACTCAGATGACTCTACCTGGACTGTGACTGCAGCTCATGACCCAACTGGTCCTACAGCCCCCACTTAGAGGCTGACTCAGTGCACAAAGACCATTTTCCACACCTCTATGATTTCATCCCCAACCAATCAACATTTCCCATTCCCTAGTCCCCTGCCCACCAAACTATCCTTGAAAACCCCTAACCTCCAAGCCTTTAGGGAGACTGATTTGAGTAATAACTCCATCTCCTGCGTGGCCGGACTCGTGTCAATTAAACTCTTCCTCTACTACAATACCATGGTCTCAGTGAATTGATTTTATCTGTGCAGCAGGCAGGAAGAATCCGTTGGGTGATTACAGATGACTGACAAATGCTGTTACCCCAAAATTTGGGATTTGGGGGATCAATTCTGACCTCTTCTGAAAAAATGGTTGGCAGAGTTTGTTATATTTCTGTTCTACTGTCAAAATCTTCTCACTGGCTAGTTCATTAAATCTATTTCATTTTTTACTTCATCAATATGTTCAATAGCTTCTTGTAGTTTTTTTTCTCCCTTCTTCAGCAAGCCCAGAAAGGCTGATGTCTCTGCCTGTCTCAGAGGAGAAAGTGGTCTTGGTTTCTCCTTTTGAGGCATGAGTGGAGAAAGGCATATGGGAGCTGTGTTGTGAGGAAAATCCAGGAACCAGACCACGAGTCTCCTGACTCCTTAGGAAGAAGCTCAGAAAACTCAGTAGTTTGTTTTTAAAGAAGGGGAATGCAAAATTCAGGAGAGCAGGTATTTTGGTGGGAGAGGCAGACATCATGGAGAACAACCCAGATATTAATGTTCCAGCCTCTGTGTGTTTATATGTCAATAGTCTTCACAACTTACATATATATTATACATTATATTTATTATTTATTTTATATATATAATATAGTGTAATAAAATTTTAAGATAAAATATATTTTCTGTCATCATATTGTGGGGCAAAGTCTTAAAAGATCTTAAGATCATTGATTTTCCTTGATAAGCTAAGGATTTGTAAGAATTGAGAAGAGAAACCAGGTAAATCTAAATTTTGGTGCAAAGGGCCCAAAGTGCATTTCTCCAGCCAACATTTAGAGCAGCCCCCATCAGCTGATACAGCAGTTTCCTGAAACCCAGGATCCCTTTCCCAGCTTGACTCCAAACACCTCAGAATTACTGAACTGGCTCATGTTAGCTAGCCGGCTGGCTTCCACCAGATAAGACCATTTGATATATCATGTAACCACTTTAAGAGTTTATCTTTTGATTCACCAGGAAAAATCTTCAGTCCAAAACATTAAACGGGCATTTTTCAAAGACTGGGAAAATAATGAACATTATCAGCAGTTTCCTGCCATTCTTTGTGTCCTTGATGCTCCACGGTGAGAGTTCATGAACTAAATGGGGCGTATTGGAAAAGCCTTTTGGAGCCTGGATTTATGATTGGGAGTTTTCCTTCTGAGTACAATGCCCTGCACATCTAAGATTTGTTTTCAAAGAGAAATGGAACTATCTGACATATTTCTGACTTGGTTTTTAATTCCTCTTGTCCTCGTGTTAGTCTCATATAGAAAGTGTAGAGGAGAGATGAGGAGTAGGGAGGAGAAGAGGTGGGGACAGGAAATGGAAAGTAGCAAGAAAAGGGGAAATGTAGAAGAGAGGGAAGGGGGAGGGAGATGGGGAGAGGGAGGAGGGAAGAGGCATGGCAAGAGGAAGTGGGAAAGGGAGTTGGGGAGGATAAGTCACAGACTGAGCAACCACAGTTCCTCACACTGTGCTTGATTATTTCCGTAGAGGTCAATCCATTTACTTCTTATAATCTGTGAGCTGAGTCAGGAAGCTTGCAACTCAGTAAGGCAGAAGCCTTAGATTCACACAGCCAATAATATTGGATGCTCTGGTTTCTCTTCAGAACAAATAAATATTTGGCCTTTTACTAAAGATTTCCATGGAGAGGAACAATTATTAATTAATAACCAAATTTTTGAGGTCCTGCTTAGGCAGGGCCAAGTAAATAATAATAAATAAATAAATAAATAAATAAATAAATAAATAATGATTAGATTAAACTCCAGATCTTTCTGACTCTGAAACCAACTTTCTCCTAGTGCCCACCTCTGGGAACTGGAATTCCCAAAGGCAGTAATTTATTAAGGAGCGGGGTCCGGGGCAATACGATGGGGACCCCAAATATGCAGGGTATGCAAGGGCAAGATTAAAGGAAACTAACAAGGAATGGTGCATTACCTTGGCGTTAGCAACTTCCTGAGAACTAAGCTCTGGGAGAGGGCTACCCAGGCACCACAACCGTCAATACAAGAATGCACTAATGACAGCCTACAGGGAGGCAGGGTAGGGGTCACAATATATCACCCACCCTTGTCTACAACCCTCCTCCAAAGCTCCTCCATGGAAAACTCTCATTTGCCACCAAAAAGAAGAGTATTTGATCATTTTTGACTAGGCTTGCTAACAATTTCATTGAACAGAAGGTAACAAAAGAAATGCGACAGACACTTCATTCTGAACAGTCAAGAACAATTGATTAAACAGAAGTGTGAAGAACCTTTGAATAAAGGGATTGATTGTGTTATCTGAAAATCCAAAGGCAAGGAAGGTAAAACTGGTTGTAGACTTTAGGAAAACACATTTCTACTGATGCACAGAAAAGATAGAATCACAGAAGAAATAGTATCAGGGGACTCTAATCCAAGCTAGAAGCTCTGAAAATATACTTCTGGCTATTTAATAAGAATACCATAGGCCAGGCATGGTGGCTCACGCCTGTAATTCCAGCACTTTGAGAGGCTGAGGTGGGCAGATGGCTTGAGCCCAGGTGTTCAAGACCAGCCTGGGCAACACAGGGAGACCCTACTTCCACGAAAAATACAAAAGTTAGCTGGGCACGGTGGTGCATACCTGTGGTCCCAGCCACTTGGGAGGCTGAGGTGGAAGGATCGCTTGAGCCCAGGAGGTTGAGGCTGCATTGAGCCGTGATCATGCCACTGCACTCCAGCCTGGGCCACAGAGCGAGACCCTGTCTCAAAAAAAAAAAAAAATTGTAATACTGTTTAAAACTAGAGAAATAATTTAATAAACAAATTTTGCTGTGAGCTCAGGTGTTTAAAAGGATAAGAAATGACCACAACAACCTTTCCCACCTCACTTGGACTCTAGGGAAGGTTTCGAGCATCCTGAACAAGGTGAAATTCTCACATACTTGAGGTCAAAGCTCTGAGCAGGAGGACTAAGGGCTCTCTTGATTCTTTCCTCTGGGCCCCAGCAGAGTGCCACAGGCATAGGTTGAGAAATCCCCATCAGAGCCTGGAGGGGTCCAGGAGAAAGAAATGGAAGATGGCTGCTCAATGATCACGGGTATCCAGTCCTTCAGTCAACAAAAAGGGAGCTCTTGACCTTCCTACACAATCCATCCCAAGTTCCCAATGCAGGTGAGCAATTAGGGATGCAGAATATGCTAGGAATAGGAGCATGCATTTATCATCCAGGGTCCTGCCAGGAAACAGATGGCAAACTCACATGGGGTAAGTGAGAAAGGTTTAATAAAGAACTCTCTATAAAGGCAAGGGCAAGGTTAAAGGAAACTAACAAGGAATGGTGCATTACCTTGGGGTTTGCAACATCCTGAGAACTAAGCTCTGGGAGAGGGCTACCCAGGCACCACAACCATCAATACAAGAATGCAGCTAATGACAGCCTACAGGGAGGCAGGATAGGAGTCACAATATATCACCCACCCTTCTCTACCGCCCTCCCCAAAGCCCTGCATGAGCTGCACATTGCCAGAGGGCAAATGAGCCCTGATGTGGTCCATGGACCAAGGCAGACAAGAATGAAGAGTAGACCAGAGGGGCAAACAGAGAGTAGCCAGCACAATCATTCTAAAATTATGAGCATATGCATGGACTTAGCTACAAGGATATTCATCACAGCATTATTTGTAAAAGCAAATATATGGAAATAACCTAAATGTTAGATAGGGAGAAAAAAATGATGCCATACCCACATGAGGGCAGAGACTATCTTACCTATTTTTCTGTATAAACTGCAGCAATTGGAATAATGCTTTGCATAGAAAATATTCATTAAATATTAAAATGCTAGTGTGGGCCGAGCATGGTGGCTCACACCTGTAATCCCAGAAATTTGAGAGGCTGAGGTGGGTGGATCGCTTGAGCCCAGGCATGGAGGCACATGCCTGTAGTCCCAGCTACTCAGCTATCCAGGAGGCTGAGGTGGGAGGATTGCTTAAGCCCGGGGGGTCAAAGCTGAAGTGAGCTGTGATTGCACCACTGTACTCCAGCCTGGACGACAGAGTGAGACTCTGTCTTAAAAAAAAAAAAAAAGGTAGTTTAGGGGTACATTTACTGACATGAAAAGATGTTCATGATTCAGTTAAACAAGAAACAGGTCACAAAAATATGTGGTAATGATCTTATTTTATTTGATAGCTGGCTTCATAGATAGATACAGAATACAGATTTGGAAAAACATACATGGAGATGGTTAAAGTGATGAATGATGCTCAGAGGGAGACTGTTTTGTTTGGATTGGGTTGGGTTGGTTGGGTTGGGTTTGGTTAGGTTTGGTTTGGTTTGGTTTGGTTTGGTTTTGTGCTTCCGTTTTTTATTTCTCTGTAGTGAATACAGTTGTTTTCGTAGTAAGAAAAATACATCTTTTTTTTTCTATTTTACTTATAAAACAGTGTTGGTTTTCCTGGTGTTTTCCTTTCCCTTCCCTGCATTATCTCTTGCTCTATAACCTTGAGAGTGGCAGCAGATGGCAGGGCAAGCATGTGGATGGAGGGGAGGGGAGGGAATCCCACCATATGGGAATCATGACTCACAGCTTTCACAGCTTGTGGAGCACTGAGGACCAAAATACATACAGAAGAGTGGAAGGGGCTTAGAAAAAACCTCCTGCACAAGGCTCAAATCCTAGGAAGCTGAGATTTATAGTACATGCTGAGGATGACTAAAAAGTATTTTTAAGCTATATTGGAAGGAAGATGAACAAGCAGGGAAGAGCATCACTGCTAGGTAAAGATGTTGCATTACCAGATCGCAGGGAGGAGAAGCCTTCAATTCCCATTTTGCTTTAATCTCAACCATAAATAAGACTTTCTTCTTTATCTCTTTCTTGGCCATCATCATCACCAGCAACATCAGCATCATCACCACCATTAACATTGTCACCTCCTCCAAAATTACCACTATTATCATCATCATCTCCATCCAGATAGTTAAACGTCCTAAGAACAGCAAATGTCTTATCCTCTTATATATGCTGGAACATTCACATAATCCTACATAGTTCAGTAAACATGAATTGACAAAGATGAAGGCTCTCTTATTAAATGAGAAGATAACATGATGCTGCTAGGAAGAGGTAATATATTGGATGAAAAGTTTGTAAACTTTGAGCCAACATTTCAAAGGGAGAAAACTTTTGAATCATGTATCCCCCCATGTTTATCTGTATTTATTTACAAATTATATACATGTTCTACCACTATAGTCCAATATTATATACATTATAACATACACATAAATTAAAATTTTTTAATGTTGCCATGAAAAAGATAATTTTTGGGTGGTTTGCACACCCTGCATGGGAAACCACTATTCAACATGACCGTATCAGAATCAAAAGTTTTTTAAATAAACCTGTAAAAGGAGCTGTAACCAACAACAGAAGATTAAATACAGATGAGGATCAAATGCTGCATTTTGAATTCCCAAACTGAGCCTAAGTTGAGGAATTTAATATGCAAGCGCAATCTTGTAATGCCAAAAAATCACCACCAGATGACTTGTAGCTCTAGTGATTTAATATGGGTGGACTGAGCAATAAGCAGCATTTAAAGAAAAGCCAACCTTGACAATTATTCAAATGTCCCAGATGGTGCCCTGTTCCCTCTACTATCACTATTTAACATTGCTGTACTAAATTGCTGTATTTTCTTTCTAGGGATTTATTGGAACAAAATAAGGTCTCAGAGGGCAGGAGCAATATGTGCTTGCTTCCATCACTTTTGGAAACTGCCTCAATACCCAGGCAACCAGAAATTTTCAATTACCCAAGAGAGCCCTGTTTCTCATCCCTATGGGGATCAGTATCATAGGGTCTGAGTTACTAGTTATTAACCACAACAGAAGGGGAAGAAGGAGGGGACCATCCTTGTTAATTCACCAGTCTGGTCTCCTTGCACAATTCTACTCAAGCCTAGATACTGATGTCATAATTTGAGGTCAGATTAGGGAACTTCTGCAGAAACCATCACCCCCACAGAAGGGAGATGAGGCAACCAGAATGTGCCCTGAGTAAGATAGCACTTCAGCCCTAGTGGCTTTATGGAAAGTGGTATAAGAATAGACAGAACAAAGACTTTGGAGTCAGACAGATCTACGATGGAATCCTCCATCTGTTGCCCGCTGCCTGTGTGACACTGGGCAAGCAACCCAACTTCTCCATTATAAAATGCAGTTAGGAAAATGTCATAATATATTTTAGGCTTATTGTGAGCCCTGGATATAATATTTTTGGATCATCAGCCACAGGATCCAGGCTCACCTTCTGCTTGGTCCTGCATAAATTTTAATACCTGAGGCACTAGTTTAAAACACAGATTGTCAGGTTTCTCCTGATGGCGTAAACGCAGGGTGGGTCCCTGCCTCTGGGGAATCTATATTTTTTAAGAAGCCTCGGCAGGGTGAGGTGGCTCACACCAGTAATCTCAGCACTTTGGGAGGCCAAGACGGGAGGATCACTTGAGACCAGGAATTTGAGGCAAGCCTGGGCAACATATTGAGACTCCATCTCTACAAAAATAAAGATAAAAATTAAAAAATTAGCCGAGCATGGTGGCATACACCTGTAGTCCCAGCAACTTGGGAGGTGGAGGCAGGAGGATGGCTTGAGCCCAGGAGTTCCAGGCTGCAGCAAACTAGGATCGTGCAACTGCACTCCAGCCTGGGTGATAGAGTGAGACCCCATTCCTTAAAAATAATTTTAAAAACAGAAGTCCCCTTCTACCACCCAGGTGATTCTGATTGTGAAACAAGTTTAGGAACCCCCGAACCAACAGTTATTTACCATTATTGTGAGCATTATTGATTGGTATTTTTGTTACTTCCTGCCCACCACTGTGGCACAGCTTCCCGGTCCCAGGGAACCATGGTCATAGAGCTGGCCCACTTTCTTCCACCAAAAGGACTGCATTTTTCTTTCCTTTTTTTTTTTTTTGAGACGGAGTCTTGCTCTGTCGTCCAGGCTGGAGTGCAGTGGCAGGATCTCGGCTCACTGCAAGCTCCGCCTCCCGGGTTCATACCATTCTCCTGCCTCAGCCTCCCGAGTAGCTGGGACTACAAGCGCCTGCCACCAGACCCGGCTAAATTTTTTTGTATTTTTAGTAGAGATGGGCTTTCACCGTGTTAGCCAGGATGGTCTCAATCTCCTGACCTCGTGATCTGCCCGCCTCGGCCTCCCAAAGTGCTGGGATTACAGGCGTGAGCCACCGCGCCTGGCCGGCACTGCATTTTTCTACTCTACTTCCCTCCCCCAACCCTCACCTTCCAATCAACCTGCTCTTTGCCATTTGTCTCAAGTGGATGGATCACATGAAGGCTTTGAACTGAAAATGACTTGCTGAGTTATGTATGCAGACCAGGGATATTTCATAAAAAGGGGCATAAACTAGAGAAATTCATTCTAAATAATGACAATCCTGGCTCAGTGGGAGATGTTTTGAGAAAAGAGATCTCTTAATTCCTTCCATGGCCTACTTGCTGATTCACTTGCATGTGCATAGGAATCACATGGAGATCTTGCTGAAATGCAGATTCTGCCACTATATACCATATTTAAGGTGAGCCTCTGAGACGGCATTTCTAATAAGCTCCTGAGTAATGCCATGCTGGTGGTCCAACGACATTTTGAATGTCAAAGGATGGTTAATGGTGAAGCAAAGAGAGCTACATCCCCAAATGCTTAGAAACTTACCAACACCTACAGCCTAAAGTGATCATGAATGCTGTAGAAAAGTTTACATTTTTCCCCTGAAGGTTCACTCATTTGAGCCTATAAAACAAATTGATGATACAAAGATTAACAGAAAAAAATGCCATAAATATTTATTACATGCTGGGAGTCACACAAAATATGAAAATGCAAAAAAATGGCCAGATGGTTGATGCTTTTGTACCGTCTTAAGGTTACAGAAAGAATAGGGGTTTAGAGCATGCAAGTCATGGGAGGTAGAGAAGAGGAAGAAAGGCATGGAGCAAAGGCCATCTTTTTATGTAGATGAAACTTCCCAGGGAGCAGCCCTCAGAAAGAATAGATGGTAGCCTGTGGTGAATGTTTCTGTCAGACCTTTAAAGGCGTCAGGCTCTCAGTCAATCTTTCCTAGATGTAGACAAGGGAGGAGCCTCAGAGAAAGCCTGGCTGTTTATTTCACCTATGCAGATTTTCTCTGCAGATGCAAATCTCCTCCACAAAAGGCAGTTTTGCTGGGCTATTCCTGTCTGCAGGCCCTCTGAATACCCATCTCGAAATATGTCAGAAAAGTATATTTGCAGGTGAAATATTTTTGGTTTGCTTTAATGTCTAGAATCCATTAATTTAGTAAAGCACCAACAGATAGAGCCTGTTCCCAGTAAACACACACACACACACACACACTCCACCAACAAACACCAAATCAGAACGTTAAAAATCATTACTTTCCACCAGGCAGAGGGCACTGATGTCAAAGAGCTTCAAAATTTATTTTAAAAGCATTTATGCAGTAATTTTAAACAATTGTTTAGCAACAATTATAAAAGTTAAGCAAAAGCACATAATGCTGTTTTACACATGATAGACCATACAAGATCACCAAGATAATTGTTGATAAAGCCAGCACTCCTGGAACCATGAAATTTTCATTAGCCAGTGTGGCACAGTCAGCTCTACAAATTTGAAAGGTTTGGAAAACATTCAACTACTGGCTACTGCTGTTAATGTTCTGTAGCAAGTTAAAGCACAATGTGAAACAATAAAATACTGAATGCAAGAGCTGGGAACAATGGAGCACAGTCCTGGCATTATGCAATCTGAGCAGCAACCTAATTGTAACTCTCAAAGGTCTCTACAAAGCCACTGGCTGGTCTAAACTGTTACACAGTTCAAACTCCTTAGCAGCAATTGTCTTTGGGAAAACCAACTCTACCTTGGATGTGTGTGTGTAAAGCTTCAAGGGACATGGATATTCAGGGTCACAAATGTCTTAAGTGATCCTTCAGTTCCACCCATCACCTATGAAAGCCAGCTTTGGCGCTTGCACAGATCCAAAGCCTCTGCCTAAGGCAGCTGGAACCTCTCAGAACAACATGGCAGTGTTTGTTTATAACCCATTTAAAACTGCCACCACTCTTGAGAGGACACCGGCTATGCCCCTGGCCCGGAGTCCACTTGCCCTTTGTCCAGAAAGCCTTCCTCCTCTCCCTGGAAACTTGACTTTTTAGCCTCCAGCTGCTAAGCTACCAGTCTGAGCAAAACAGCATCAAGCAATGTCAGGCAGAAACGTTAACTGTGTCTGCGGTTCTGCCCGTACCTTTGGGAAGACAATATTATACTCAACTAGAAGGCTAATCTTCTTCATATACTCCAACTCATTAGATTTTAACCTCTTGTGACTTTTTAAAGTAGAAAGGACAAAGGAGAAGCAGCTTGTTTATCGTCTAGGCTGAGACAATGGGACAACTGTGTAGTTTATCTCTGGTATTAAATGTGTCGCTCAGGTTTATTTATGCTTCATTTTAAATTTTTATTTATTTACGTATTTGAGATAGGGTCTCACTTTGTCACCCAGGCTGGAGTGCAGTGACTTGATCTCAGCTCACTGCAAACTCTGCCTCACAGGCTCAAGCCATCCTCCCACCTCAGCCTCCTGAGTAGCTGGGACTACAGGCACGTGCCACCACACTTGGCTAACTTTTTATTTTTTTGTAGAGATGAGGTCTCACTACATTGCCCAGACTGGTCTGGAATTCATGGGCTCAAGTGATCCTCCCGTCTCGGCCTCCCAAAGTGCTGGAATCACAGGCGTGAGCCACCGCACCTGGCCTATGCTTTAACTTTTGATTGATCTACAACACACATACAGGAAAGTGTGCAAATTATGTATGAACAGCTCAATGAATACTCACAAACCAATTATATTCTTTCAATCAGCACTCAAACAGGAAATGGAGCACTACAGCATCCCGGAAGCCCCTTTTGTGCGTGTTTTCAGTCACTATTCCCCAGGAGAATGACTATCCTGACTTTCAACACTCCACAGATTAGTGTATTTTCAAACTTTAAATTATTAACAACAATTTTTTTAAGTCAGGGTTTTTTTTTTAAATAATAACTTAAGGATCTTAATATTAAAGTCTTTTTTTTTAGGCCAGTCCAATTGCCATGGACAGAATCATGTCCCCCCCAAATTTATATGCTGAAGCCTCAACCCCCCAGTGTGACTGTATTTGGGGTTAGGGACTTAAAGAGGAAATTAAGGTTAAATGAGGTCATAAGTGTGGAGCCCTAATGAGATAAGATTGTGACCTTGTAAGAAGAGAATAAGAGAATGAGATTCCTATCCTCCAACCCCCACCCCCACCCAAGTGAAGACACTGGGAGAAGTTGGCCATCTGTAAGCCAGGAAGGGAGCCCTCACCAGCAACCAAATCTGCAAGGGCCTTGATCTTGGACATCCCAGCCTCCAGAACTGTGAGAAATAATATTTCTGTTGTTTAAGGCACCCACTCTGTAGCACCTATTTTTTTAAAAATGTATTTTATTTTCTAAATTAATTTTATTTTTTAACATTTTCATTCTTTTTAGAGACAGAGTCTGGAATGCAGTGGCATGGTCATTGCTCACTGCAGCCTCAAACCCCTGGGCTCCAGCAATCCTCCTGCCTCAGCCTCCTGAGTAACTGTATTTCACTTTTTTGAGTAAAAACTTTCGAGTAAAGTTTATCACCAAAGACCAGCCTCTGCATTTCAAAATAACACATTGGTTTTTGTCAGTATTAAGAGAAGTCGGGACACAAAATTAACTTAATACTGTCCAGTAAGAAAAGTGGTTTTATTAGATAAACATAATGAGACCTATGAGCAAAGTGCTGGGGTGCAAAGGCAAGATCTCCCTCTTCTATGAAATTCATGCTTTACTTGGAAAGTTTCCATTATTCCACATCAATGACAGGTATTAATGGCATTTCTAATGTAGGTTTAGGTGCCCTGACTTTGAAGTAATGCAATAAAACCTGTCCTTGCCACTGCCTTTGAAATCAGGGTGGTAGCTGCAGTGCCTCACACTAAATGTAGATATTCAACACATGTTGTTGATTAAAGAGGTGCCTGGAGGATTGTGAAGTGTAGCTGGAGTGAGAGAGGTGCCAAGAGGTGGCTCTCTTTAATTAACACTCTGTTGGGAAGAATTCCGCACGCCCAGTGGAATCACCCGTAGTACCCAAAGGGAGTGCAGTGATTCTATTTGCAAGCCAGTGTGATGAGAAGTGTTTCCACTGAGTCATATTTTCAAAAGCATCGTTTTTCCCTCCTGTAAACAAACACCAATTAATGTGCAAGATGTAACTTTCTTAGAGTTGAATAAAAATAACACAGCAATCGGGTGATATGCAATTTGCCACTTGTACTTTCAATTTACAGACCTATTGCATGCCACTTGTGTTGGTTAAAGAAACAAGAAATAATTAGAAAGATAGGCTAATAGGGATAATAAGATATTTGTGATATCTGGGTCTTCCTCATAGCTCAAAAGACACTGTTTATTATACTACATCCAAATATAAAACAAATGATCTGTCTCCAACATAAACTATTTAGACTGAAAACCAGCCAAATGAAAGCAGCTGCCACTAGATTAAAAAGTCATTTTCTCAGCCAACTCAGATTAAAAAAGAAACATTTTATGAACATATTTCTTCAACTCAAGCAGATTTTTATTATTCTCTGTTTCAGCTGCACATAAAAATAAAAACAGCATCTCCTGGCATGACCATTTGCTAGAAATTTAATTTCAGATAAACAGATGGTGCTGAACTAAAAATATTAGCAGGGTATCATCTGTAAAATTCAAATCATTTTAGTATATGTTGTCTTTAGTCTTTTTTTTAAAAAAAACAGAAGTTTCTTTTTATAAATCTATTACACTAAAATGTAGCAAATATTTATCTTCAAGAGTGTTGAACAAGGGGCAGTTGGCATTTCTCTTGTGTCCCCTACCTCTAGGGGCTCCTTAAAAGAAATACATTTATAATATACTATTCCTTTTCTTACTTCAGGACCCTGAGATAAATCTGGATACAACTTTTTAAAGGCCACAAATTGAAGTTAAAATTCTCTTTACTGGTTGACTTACTTGCTATTAAAGGCTTGGGCACATTTTGTGCACCTGGGGGCCCAAGTTCTATATGACCAACTTCAGTGAAATGCGTGGATGCAGATAAAGGAGAAAAAGGCTGGCGCTGCAAAGAGCTGAAAGACAGTTTCCCAAATTCCATTAATAATTAAAACAAAAAATTAAAACGGCCTCTCCAACTGCTCAGCAAAAGTTCTAACCCAGGACCAAAAGCTACAGCAGCTCTGGGGACCAACGAAGGCTCTAACTGTGATTCGAAGCATGGATTGGATTAAAGCTCATTTTCATTTTGTGCCATCTAACTGCACAGCATACATCAGGTCAAACCACATTAAATTGCCAGTATTCAACCAGTTTTGACCACCATATGGCTCAACCTGATATCTAGGTTGCTTCCCAAGACCACTATTTCTAAGCCTGCCCTTAGTACAAGAACATTATTCAATGAACATAATTAAAGACAAGTAAAGACTCAAATCTGAAATCAATAGTCTATGGTCATAAATGCTAAGGTATTTTTTAAAAATTGAGTCAACTTTTGCTGCTACCAGCATCCATAATTGTGAATTAACTAGTCCAGATAAATAAACAGCTTTAGCATTATATTACTGGGAAATAGAAAAAGACAAATCTTTATATGGAAATGTATTGCTAGCCTCAAAGGGATTAAATATGTATATGTATATTTAATATTATATATTTAATGTTATATATATAGTACTTCTGGATGTATACTATGTTAGTATAAATAAGTGACTTTTTTTATACTAAGTGATTTTTAAGGAAAATTTAAGTTAGAATTCTCTTTACTGGTTGACCAGCGAAAATTTTAAGGCAAGGTCACTTAACTTTGGTACGATTGTCATTTTGGATCAGATCATTCTTTGTTGTGGAGTTGTCCTGTGCATTGTAGGATGTTTGGCAGCATCCCTGGCCTCTACCCATTAGATGCCAGTAGCACCACCCCTCTCCAGTCAGGATGCCAAAAACATCTTCACACATTGCCAAATTCCCTTGGTGGGTGGAGGGGGCAAATCCTTAACCCTCGTTAAGACTTGAGAAGACTTATTTAAGGTCTTCACTCAGTAACCAACCTATTCCATGTGTTTCTCTACCTTATGAGGGGGATAACCTCACTAGAAATAATATTTTTTCAAAGATTTTTGGTTTGGTTTGCCAGGTTTAGCAAATTAAAAATAGAGGTTGCCCAGTTAAATTTGAATTTCAGATAAACAACAAATAATTTTTTAGTATAAACATGTTCCAGGCTGGGCACTGTGACTCATGCCTGTAATCCCAGCACTTTGGGAGGCCAAGGCAGGAGGATCGTTTGAGCCCAGGAGTTTGAGACCAGCCTGGGTAACATAGCAAGACCCTGTCTCAACAAAAAAATAAAATGAAAATTAGGCAGGTGTGGTGGTGCACACCTGTAGTCCCAGCTACTCAGGAGGCTGAAGTGGGAGAACCACTTGAGCCCAGGAGTTTGAAGTTATAGTGACCTACGATTGCTCCACTGCACTCTGGCCTGGGAGATAGAGTGAGACTCTGCCAAACAAACAAACAAAAAAAAATGTTCCAAATATTGCTTAGTGTTTAATCTGGCAACCTTATTTTCAGTGAACTGCTAATACCATAAAAAAATTACTATAAATTAATTGCCAATTCATGACAGAGGAAAACAGGATTAAACAAAATGACAAAGATAACAGTTCACAGTTAGTGAGTTATAGTGAAAACAGCACATATTTTGGAGCCAGGTGTCTGAGGTAGAACCTGACTCTGCCATTTTGGAAGACGTGACCTTGGGCAAGCTAACTTATCTGAGTCTCCCTTTCATCTTTTATTTTTTAACAAATGGTGGGGATTGGGGGTGGGAGAGGGAATTATAATTCTCTTACTAGTCACTGTTAAGACTAGTAAGAGAGTTACTTACTAGTATTATTATTATTATCAAACAAATTGCCTCCTAAATGCGAATTGTATGATAAAGAGAAGCAGCTCTTTAAGGATGAAGTGAATAGTATGTACCATTTCTAAGCACTTGGTACTCTTTGGATATGGTGGACCATAGCCCCAGGCATAAACCACAACAGACAGTACATCAGCTGGCACCGCACTGCCCCAGATGTAATCTAATAGGCTACAGGCAACACCTGCTGGGGTCAAGAGGGGAAGAGGAGAGATCTGAGGTTCCTGTCCGCTCATCCCTGTCAGTGACTAACAGCATCTGAACCACCCACTCAGGGCCCTTTGAATAGTACTGGGAGCATACACTGAGCAGAGAGGCAAAGACCTAGAAAAAGAAACAACCTGCAATTGTAGGGCCATGGGGTTCTCCTCTTACAATTACCTTGCGGTTGGTCTGATAATGTTGAAACTTTATTAAAGCCTTTTTTGAAAACGGTACTTCCCTAGATTTCTATTTCTTCATCTGCTAAAGGAAGAGGTGGGGCAGATGAACTCTAACGTCCATTTCCACTTTCAAAGATTATGTGACTTCTCCCTTTGAAGACCCAACAAAAGTCTCACTTCCTCCTGAAGGGCTCTGCTATGGAAATCCTGCCAATGCTAATCTCTCTCTTAGCTTTTACTGTCTTTACCATCCATTAAAGAAAAGTAAAACACACTTTGAATATATACAACTTGCATTTGTCAATTACATATTTGTGAAAAAGCACAGCATGATAAAAAATTTTATGTTAGAATGACTAAATAAAAAAGCTCACTTTGTTATGCAGTAAATCAGAGTAATTTACAAGGGTACATCAACAGCCAGTAAATAGTGAACAAAACTGAATTAAAGATAATATTTATGGCAGGGCACAGTGGCTCACGCCTGTAATCCCAGCACTTTGGGAGGCTGAGGCAGGTAGATCACCTGAGGTCAGGGGTTCAAGACCAGCCTGGCCAACATGGCGAAACCCCGTCTCTACTAAAAATACAAAAAAATTAGCTGGGCATGGTGGTGTGTGCCTGTAATCCCAGTTACTGGGGAGGCTGAGCCAAGAGAATTGCTTGAACCCAGGAGGTGGAGGTTGCAGTGAGCCGAGATTGCACCACTGCACTCCAGCGGAGGTGACAGAGCAGGACTCCATCTCAAAAATAATAATAATGATGATAATAATAATTATAAAAACAAAATGAGCCATGTGCAGTGGCTCACACCTGTAATCCCAGTACTTTGGGAGGCTGAGACGGGTAGATGGCTTGAGCCTGGGAGTTCAAGACCAACCTGGGCAACATGGCAAGACCCCATCTCTACAAAAAATACAAAAATTAGCTGGGCATGATGGTGTGCACTTGTAGTCCCAGCTACTTGGGAGGCTGAGGTGGGAGGATCGCTTGAGCCTAGGAGGTCCAGGCTGCAGTATGCAGTGATCACACCACTGCACTCCAGCCTGAATGATAGAGCAAGAGCCTGTCTCAAATGAATAAATGAAACAAAAACCCAAACTACCACGAATTACTTCATACAATTAAAAGATTATATTACACATATAAGGTGATATGGTTTGGCTGTGTCCCCATCCAAATCTCAACTTGAATTCTCACGTGTTGTGGGAGGGACCTGGCGGGAGGTAATTGAACCATGGAGGCAGGTCTTTCCTGTGCTGTTCTCATGGTAGTGAATAAGTCTCATGAGATCTGATGGTTTTATCAGGGGGAAATTCCCTGCACAAGCTCTCTCTTTGCCTGCTGCCATCCATATAAGATGTGATTTGCTCCTCCTTGCCTTCTGCCATGACTGTGAGGCCTCCCCAGCCACGTGGAACTGTAAGTCCATTAAACCTCTTTCTTTTTTAAATTGCCCAGTCTCGGGTATGTCTTTATCAGCAGCATGAGAACAGACTAATATAGTAAATTGGTAGCAGTAGAGTAAGGCACTGCTGTAGATATCTGAAAATGTGGAAATGACTTTGGAACTGGGTAACAGGCAGGGGTTGGAACAGTTTGGAGGGCTCAGAAGAAGACAGGAAAATGTGGAAAACTTTGGAACTTCCTAGAGACTTGTTGAATGGCTTTGCCCAAAATGCTAACAGTGATAACAGTGATATGGACAATAAAGTCCAGGCTGAAGTGGTCTCAGATGAAAATGAGGAATGTGTTGGGAACTGGAGCAAAGGTGACTCTTGTTATGTTTTAGCAAAGAGACTGCTGGCATTTTGCTCCTGCCCTAGAGATTTGTGGAACTGTGGACTTGAGAGAGATGATTTAGGGTATCTGGTGGAAGAAATTTCCAAGCAGCAAAGCATTCAAGAGGTGACTTGGATGCTGTTAAAGGCATTCAGTTTTATAAGAGAAGCAAAGCATAAAAGTTCAGAAAATTTGCAGCCTGTCAATGCTATAGAAAAGAAAATCCCATTTTCTGAGGAGAGATTCAAGCTGGCTGCAGAAATTTGCATAAATAACGAGGAGCTGAATGTTAATCCCCAAGACAATGGAAAAATGTCTCCAGGGCATGTCAGAGGTCTTCATGACAGCCCCTCCCATCACAGGCCTGGAGGCCTATGAGGCAAAGTGGTTTCATGGGCCCAGCCCAGCACTCCCTGCTGTGTGTAGCCTAAAGACTTGGTGCCCTGCATCCCAGCCAGTCCAGCCATGGCTGAAAGGAGCTAATGTAGAGCTTGGGCTGTGGCTTCAGAGGGTGGAAGCCCCAAGCCTTGGCAGCTTCCACATGGTGTTGAGCCTGTGAGTGCACAGAAGTCAAGAATTGGGGTTTGGGAACCTCCACCTAGATTTTAGAGGATGTATGGAAATGCCTGGATGTCCAGGCAGAAGTTTGCTGCAGGGGCAGGACCCTCATGGAGAACTTCTGCCAGGGCAGTGCAGAAGGAAAATGTGGGGCCAGAGCCCCCACACAGAGTCCCTACTGGGGCACTGCCAAGTGGAGCTGTAAGATGAGGGCTACTGTCCTCCAGACTCCAGGATGGTAGATCCACTGCCAGCTTGCACCATGTGCCTGGAAAAGCCACAGACACTCAATGCCAGCCCATGAAATCAGCCAGGAGGGAGGGCGTACCCTGCAAAGCCACAGAGGTGGAGCTGCCCAAGACCATGGGAACCTACCTCTAGCATCAGCGTGACCTAGATGTGAGACATGGAGTCAAAGAAGATCATTTTGGAGCTTTAAGATTTGACTGCCTCACTGGATTTCAGACTTGCATGGGGCCTGTAGCCCCTTTATTTTGGTCAATTTCTCCCACTTGGAATGGCTGTATTTATCCAATGCCTGTACCCCCATTGTATCTAGGAAGTAACTAACTTGCTTTTGATTTTACAGGCTCGTAGGCAGAAGGGATTTGCCTTGTCTCAGATGAGACTTTGGACTGTGGACTTTTGAGTTTATTCTGAAATGAGTTAAGAGTTTGGGGTACTGTTGGGAAGGCATGATTGGTTTTGAAATGTGAGGACATGAGATTTGGGAGAGGCCAGGGGCAGAATGATATGGTTTGGCTGTATCCTGACCCAAATCTCAATCTGAATTCCTACATGTTGTGGGATGGAACTGGTGGGAGGTAACTGAATCATGGGGGCAGGTCTTTCCCATGCTGTTCTTGTGGTAGTGAATAAGTCTCACGAGATCTGATGGTTTTATAAGGGGGAGATTTCCTGCACAAGCTCTCCCTTTGCCTGCCACCATTGATGTAAGACGTGACTTGCTCCTGCTTGCCTTCCACCATGATTACTAGGCCTCCCCAGCCACATGGAACCGTAAGTCCATTAAACCTCTTTCTTTTATAAATTGCCCAGTCTCAGGTATGTCTTCATCAGCAGCATGAGAACAAACTAATACATAAGGTATACAAATTAATAAAACAAATATCTGTGTCCACCACTCAATCCAAGAAACAATATGTTACCAATGGTTTTAGGGTACTCATGCATCCCACTCCAGCAGTAACTACTATCTTGAAAATCTTGAATTTTGTGTTATTCTCTTTTTATTACTCATTTCCTTTTCTTTTCCTTTTTCTTTTTTTACAAGATAGGATCTCCATATGTTGCCCAAGCTGGTCTCAAACTCCTGTGCTCAAGGGGTTCTCCTGCCTTGGCCTCCCAAAGTGCTGGGATTATAGGCATGAGCCACCATGCCCAGTCTATTCATTTTCTTAATAGCTTTAGAACATATATACGTATTCCTAAAGAATACTTATTTAGGCCGGGCGTGTTGACTCATGCCTATAATCACAACATTTTGGGAGGCCAAAGCTGGCAGATCACTTGAGCTCAGGAGTTAAAGACCAGCCTGGGCAATGTGGCAAAACCCTGTCTCTACAAAAAAATACTAAAATTAGCTGGACATGGTGGCACTCCCCTGTAGTCCCAGCTACTCGGGAGGCTGAGGTGGGAGGATTGCTTGAGCCCAGGAGGTTGAGGCTGCAGTGAGCTGTGATGATGCCACTGCACTCCAGCCTGGGCAACGGAGTGAGAGACTCTGTCTGAAAAATAAATAAACAAACAAATAAATATAATTTTTTAAAAAGACTATAAAGAATACTTGAAAATTTGCTTGCATTTAAATGTTGTATATATATTGTGTATGTTTTCAAATTATACATTCTGTGACTCTTTATTCAAGAGTATATTTGTGACACTCATCCATGTTGATGGGTGAAACTCTAATTCAATCATGATCACTTTTTTACAGTATTCCACTGTGTAAATATATCACCATTTATTTATTCATTTATTCTGTCAGTGGACTGTTGGGTTGTCTCTAGTTTACTGCTATTTTGAATAATGCCATGGTGGACATTTTTTATGTTTCCTAGTGCACAGAGATCAGAGTTTCTTTAGAGTGTAGAAGTAAGGCCATGGGTTACGTGCATTTTCACTTCTCTAGATGATGCCAAATTGTTTTCCAAATGGGTTTAGAAATTCACATCCTTGCCAGCAGAATATCAGAGTCCTCTTTGCTGCATGTCTTCCACACTGGATATTGTGAGGATACATTAAAATGATTTTATTCAATGCAGTTTTATTCACAATAGGCAAGATAAGGAATCAACAAAATATCCATCAACTTAGGATGAATAGATAAAGAAAACGTGGTATATATACAAAATGGAATAATATTCAGCCTTAAAAAAAAATGAAATTCTGTCATTTTCAACAATGTGACATTATACTGACATTACAACTGGAGGACATTATGTTAAGTGAAATAAGCCAGGCACAGAAAGACAAATACTTCATGATTTCACTTATATATAGAATCTAAAAAAGTTGAACTCATAGAAACAGAGAGTAGAATGGTGGTTATGAGGGGCAGAGGGAGAGGGATATTGGGGCGATGTTTGTCAAGGGGTACAAAGTTTCAGCTAGACAAGAGGAATAAGTTCAAGAGATCTATTGTACAACATGGTGACTGAAGTTAATAACAATGTGTTGTAATTTTTTTGTTTTTTTTTTTTTAAAGACAGGGTCTCACTCTGTCACCTAGGCACAGAGTGGGATCATACCTCTCTGCAGCAGTGCAGTCTCTACAGTGGTGAGATTATAGCTCACTGCAGCCTCGAACTACCGGGCTCAAGAAATCCTCCCACCTCAGCCTCCCAAAGCACTGGGATTACAGGCATGAGCCACCATGCCCAGCCTCTTCTATTTTTTAAATAAACTTTAAAAAATATTTTGGAATAATTTTAGATTTGTGATAAAATTGTAAAGATAGTATAGAGAGAATGGTGTAGTCGCTATGGAAAACACTATGCAGGTTTCTCAAGAAAATTAAAAAACAGAATTACCATATGATCTAGTAATTCCATTTCTGAGTATATATCAAAAAGAATTCAAAGCAGGATCTCCAAGACATATTAGCACACCCATGTTCATTACAGCATTATTCACAATAGCCAAGAGGTGGAAGCAACAGATTGATGGAAGAATGGATTAAAAAAAAAAGTAGTATATCCATGCAGTGGAATACTATGCAGCCTTAAAAAGAAAGGAAATATTGACACGTGTTACAACATGGATGAACCTCAAGGACATTATGCTAAGCAAAATAAGCCAGCAACAAAAGGACAAATACTGTATGATTCCACTGATATGAAATAGCTAAAGTCATCAAAATCATAGAACAGAAAACAGAAAGGCGGCTGCCAAGGGCTGAGGAAGCAGGGACAGGGATGGGGAAATAGTGTTTAACGGGGATATAGATTCAGTTTTTCCAAATAGAAAAGTTCTAGGCCGGGCACGGTGGCTCACGCCTGTAATCCCAGTACTTTGGGAGGCCGAGGTGGGCAGATCACAAGGTCAGGAGATCGAGACCATCCTGGCCAACATGGTGAAACCCCATTTCCACTAAAAATACAAAACTTAGCTGGGTGTAGTGGCACGTGCCTGTAGTTCCACCTACTAGGGAGGCTGAGGCAGGAGAATCACTTGAACCCAGGAGGCGGAGGTTGCAGCAAGCTGAGATTGCACTGCTGCACTCTAGCCTGGTGACAGAGCAAGACTCCATCTCAAAAATAAAAAAAATAAAAAATAAAAGTTCCAGAGATCTGTTGCACAACTATGTGAATATACTTAATACTACCGAATCATACACTTAAAAATGGTAAGAGATGGTAAATTTAGTGCTATGTGTTTTTTACCACAATTTTTTTAGACAGGGTCTTGCTCTGTTGCCCAGGCTGGAGTGCAATGGTGCAATCACAACTCACTGCAGCCTTGATCTCCCAGGCTTAAGAAATCCTCCTGCCTCAGCCTCCCAAGCAGCTGTGCCACCAAGCCCAACTAATTTTTTGTAGAGACGAGGTCTAACTATGTTGCCCAGGCTGGTTTCAAACTTCTCAGCTCAAGCAATCCTCCCACCTTGGCCTCCCAAAGTGCTAGGATTACAGGTGTGAGCTACCGCACCCGGCTTTACCACAATGTTTAACCCATTTATTCCCAGTGTTCCATTGTTGGAACGCTAAACCTGTGGGAGTTATGTATATCCTACTGCTCAAGGTCATTGCCAAGGTCTGATTTTTCACAAAAAAAATGTGCAGCCTCCAGCATAAATGGGTTAAAAAAAAAACACAGAAGCCAATCTGGAAGTGTTCTCACTGGCAAAAATATGGGACAACTTGAATATCAAAAATTATAATGACAGTAATAGCCAAACCCAAATGTCCATCAATGATAGACTGGATTAAGAAAATGTGGTACATATACACCATGGAATACTACGCAGCCATAAAAAAGGATGAGGTCATGTCCTTTGTAGGGACATGGATGAAGCTGAAAACCATCATTCTCAGCAAACTATCGCAAGAACAAAAAACCAAACACTGCATGTTCTCACTCATAGGTGGGAATTGAACAATGAGAACACTTGGACACAAGAAGGGGAACATCACACACGGGGGCCTGTTGTGGGGTGGGGAAAGTGAGGAGGGATAGCATTAGGAGATATACCTAATGTAAATGACGAGTTAATGGGTGCAGCACACCAACATGACACATGTATACATATGTAACAAACCTGCACGTTGTGCACATGTACCCTAGAACTTAAAGTATAATAAAAAAAAAATAAAAAATAAAAAATAAAAATGCTAGTATATTTATTTATATATGTAAAACATAGTATGGAGAGTTCCTATACATCCCTCATTTCCGCCCATTGGAAATTTTTATTTAGTTTAATATCAGTATCTTATATTGTTTGCATGTATATTACGTATACTATACACATTTGCCAATATAAACTTTTGTTTCTGAAAGTGTCTGAGGAAGGTGTTCCTCTAGGATTCAGTACTTAGTATAGGCCTTAGTTATGGGGCGGTTGCCGGGGTCGGGGAAAGGCCCTAGCTGAGGTGACAGAGGGACAAATTGCTCCTTAAGAAAAGGGAAGGAATTTGTGTTTGGCTCCTGAGAGAGACAAACCAGAGAAGCAGCAGCAAAGAGAGAGACCTGAACAAGGAAACAAGAAGCTGCTGCTGAGTTGCAGAAGGGGCCAAAGAATTGTTTTAAGAACCTGCGTATCCAATGTTAATTTTAAGTTTTGTCCATTGTAAACCAGGAGTGCAAAAAATGCACATTTTAGCTACATGCCCAATGGCCCAAGCCAAGGCCAGAACCAAATATTCATCCTAGAATGAACATCTGTACATAAAGCTTCATCGTAAAATATTACAATTTTATTAACAGTTATCATCATCATTTTTTAAAGTATGCCATTTTACTGTAGCTACAAGAATATCAGCTTGAGTCACTGCTGGGTGGCTCTTTCATCCACCGAACCACACATTTGCAATTCCGTACCAAACGAAACATTCTCTTTCAATTGAAATTAGAAAAACTGCATAATGGTTTTGGCCAGCACTGCCAGCATAGATTGTGCTGCTAGTGATGTTGCCACAGATTTATTAAGTTTCCTTCCTAATAGTCACTTACCAAGGTCAACATTTATTTTCCCAACTAAAAGGTTAAGTTGATGGTGACAGTGCAATTTCAGTGAAGACGACTAACCAACCAAGCTGTGTACAGGGCTCGAGGAAGATAATTTCTGAATACAGCAACCTTAAGATTGTTTTTCTTGTTCTTTCTTTTTATTTCTAAAATGTGTGCTACAGTTACAATGCTTTACATGATCACTAGAGATAAATGTGTCCCCAAACCTTGGATCTGGAAATGTGGCATTGGAGCAAATAATTGGCTTTCAAGATGACAAAACTATCTATGAATTTCCACCTGCATCTCAGCTTTTCATTGCATTCACACCAATTTCAGCATCTTCGTTGGAGAAAAATGATAGCAGGATCTTTCCTGCAGGTCATGTAGGAAATACTTGCAGCTTCAAGGTACATCAGTCTGGTTAACTGATTAACTGGTTAACTGGTTAACCGATTAACTGGTTAAGTGGTTAACCAGTTAACTGATTAAGTTAAGCAGTCTGGTTAAGCTGCTGAAGAGCACTTCCAACAATCCCTTGCACAATGTTAGGGAAGGAGTTATTGTTTATTAAAAACAACAATGAGTTAAATTAGTGCTTCCTAAACTTTATTGATACCCGGAGATCCTGATTTAGCAGTTTGGGGTAAGACTCAAGAATTTGCTTTTCTAACAGGCTCCCAGGAGACACAGCTGCTGATGAGGGGCTCACACTTGGAATAGCTCTGAGTCAAAAAAAATGACCCTGTTCCCACTGTCTTCAGTTTTATGTCTGGTTTGCTGAACGGATATTTGTCTGCCTTTCTTATTTTTTCCAGTTTCTAAGCTTCTTTTCAAGGAAACCATTCAGCCCGCTATCCTTTTTTTAACAGCTTTTTTGAGAGATAATTCACATATCCTGCAATTCATCCATGTAAAGTGTACAGTTCAATGGTTTTTAGTATATCCACTAAGTTGTACAGTTGCTATGGTTTGATTGTATCCCCTCCAAAATTCAGGTGTTGAAACTTAATGGGCAATGTGATAGGATTACCTGGTGGGACCTCTAAGTGGTGATTAGGCCCTGAGGGGTCCTCCTTCATGAATGGGATTAAGACCCTTGTAAAACAGGCTTCATGGAGCCTTTGGCTCTCTTGCCCTTCTGCCTTCCCCCATATGAAGACACAGCGATCCTCTCCTCTGGAGGATGAAGCTCTCACCAGACAACTGAACCTGCTGGCACCTTGATCTTGGACTTCCCCACCTCCAGAACTGTGAGAAAATTAATTTATGTTATTTATAACTTAGCCAGTCTGTGGTATTCTGTTATAGCAACACAAACAGACTAAGCAAGCATCACCACAATTTTAGAATATTTTCATCTCCTCAAAAAGAAACACCATATCCTTTAGCTATCACACCCCTGCCCCCTGGTCTCCTAGATCCCCAACTTCTGGCAACCATGAATCTACCTCCTGTCTCTGTGAACTTGCCTTTTCTAGACATTTCATAGGAATATAATCATACAATCACCTTCTGTTCGTTTGTTTCTCTTTCTTTCTCTTGCTCTTTCCTTCTTTCTTTCTCTTGCTCTTTCTTTCTTTCTCTTGCTCTTTCTTTCTTTGTCTTGCTCTTTCTTTCTCTTGCTCGCTCTTTCTTTCTTTCTTTCTTTCTATCTTTCTTTCATTTTTTGAGACACAGTCTCACTCTGTCACCCATGCTGGAGTGCAGTGGCACAGTCACAGATCACTGCAGCCTCAGCCTCCTGGGCTCAATCCATCCTCTCACCTCAGCCTCCTGAGTTGCTGGGACTACAGGTGCACACCACCACACCTAGCTAATTTTTGTATTTTTTTGTAGAGATGGGGTTTCACCATGTTGCCCATGCTGGTCTCAAACTCCTGGGCTCAAGCGATCCGCCCTCCTTGGCCTCCCAAAATGCTGACATTACAGGAATAAGCCACCATGCCCAACCTTTAATGTTTTCCTGAAGGGACAGGAGCAGAGCAATATTTGTCATGAACATGATTAGAAAAACAACCCTGTCAGCCACCATTTTTAAATAAATGAGTTGCTGAGGGATGACATCTCTTCCTGAACAGGGTGAGTGGTGTCAGTGGTGAAGGTTATTTGGATTTTGAAGGTTTACTACTTACTGTTGTGGTACTACTTATTTTACATAGCTACTACCCCATTTTCTGAGAAGGACTCACTCTTTCTTTTGGAGGACGTGTCCTCACTGCTCCAACTGTGTGGTTTTAATGGCAGCTAATCATAATACCCGTTCCCCAACCCTCATTACCACTCCTCCACTTCCCACCCCCACTTTAACCCAATTCATAAGAGACAATGCATGACCCAAGCCTGCTCTGTCAGAGGCCTGCCCCGGATGTTAAGAGAATCATTTCTTTTCAGGTGTTTATGCTGGGAGAATGTGAGCCCTTGGTGCTGCATAACAACCAAGGTTTCAACATTTTAGTTGAAACCTGCAAAGAGAAGCAGAGACAGGAGACAAGCAGACTCTTGATGACAGGAGGATCCCCATCTTGTCCCTGAGGTTCCCAAGGTGGCCTTGTTTCTTGCTTCCTCAAGACTCAGTTTGTTGAGCCTATCCTTTATTCTGGGAGCCTGGAATGGACTTCAGGCAGGCCTGAAGGCTCAGACCCAGAAACTGGTGGTAAATTAACCTTTTTTTTAAGAGGCAGGGTGATATGGTTTGGATCTGTGTCCCAACCCAAATTTCATGTCAAATTGTAAACCCCAGTGTTGGAGGCGGGGCCTGGTGGGAGGTGACTGGATCATGGGGGTGAATCCTTCATGAATCGTTTAGTACCATCCCCTTGGTGCTGTCTTGTGGTAGAGTTCTGATGAAATCTGCTTGTTTAAAAGTGTGTGGCGCCTCCCCCTCTCGCTCTCCTTCCTGCTGCCACCATGCAAGATGGCTCACTCCCCCTTTGCCTTTCACCATGATTGGAAGCTTCCTGAGGCCCCCCTAAAAGTGGAAGCCGCTATGCTTCCTGCACAGCCTACAGAACCATGAGCCAATTAAACCTCTTTTCTTTACAAATTACCCATTCTCAAATATTTCTTTATAGCAATTCGAGAACAGACTAATACACGGGGTCTCATTCTGTTGCCTGGGCTGTAGTGCAGTGGTGCAATGATAGCTGAAATGGTTTGGATGTGTGTTTGTCCCTATCCAAATCTCATGTTGAATTGTAATCCCCAGTGTTGGAGGTGGGGCCTGGTGGGTGGTGATTGGATCATGGGGGTGGTTTCTCATGGTTTAACACCATCCCCCTTGGTGCTGTCTTGGCAATAGTGAGTTCTTGTCAGATCTGGTTGTTTACAAGTGTGTGGCACCTCCCCCATCTCTCTTTTCCTCCTGCTCCCAGCCATGTGAAGTGTCAGCTCCCCTTCTCCTTCTGCCATGATTATAAGTTTCCTGAGACCTCCCCAGAAGCCAAACAGATGCCAGAATCATGCTTCCTGTACAGCCTGCGGAACCATGAGCCAATTAAACCTCCTTTCTTTACAAATGGCCCAGTCTCAGGTATTTCTTTATAGCAATGCAAGAACAAACTAATACAATAGTTCACCGCAATCTCAACGTCCTGGGCTCAAACAGTCCTTCCACCTCTGCCTCCCGAGTAGCTGATACTACAGGCAAAAGCAAGTGTACTGATCTTAAATTAACCTTTGATGTCATCAGTCTTGTGGTAAACAGGAAAAATGTGCTAGGCATTGTTTTGCTTCTATTTTTTAAACCTGGTGAGTAGGCAAGCGGGTAGCCAGGCTCTTTGGTATCATTGAAGGAGCTAAGAGAGTAGAAAGATCCCAAGAGAAGAGGAAGGTGAGAGCTTATCCCAGGCAGCAAAATTCTCAATCTGTGCTCACCTTCCTTAAAGAGATCTCTGAATAATCCAGGATGCAAGCTGCATCATCTCCTGCTTTGTGAGGCTGTTGGGTACAGTTAAATTTCTGTATCTTTTGCTATCACAGAAAACATATTCCTTTAATTGTGTCTATGGGCATCTTTCCACATCACTGTCCTGCTGAGACAGACACATAAGTTATCCCAAGATCCTTCCAATAAATCCCTTTTTACTTAATGTCCTTTTTCTTTGCTTTGTCATCTGCTTCAGAAAATTCCAACTAATGCAACTATTGATGCTCAGAAATTTAATCATCATCCTGCTTATCTAAAGTGAATGCATTCACTATACTTTTGTGTAACATATGACTATATATAACCATATCCACGTGGGAACTTTGGATTGTGAGGTACAGAAAACTTAACCAAAATTGGCTCACATAACTGATAAAGTCCAGTAGTAGGGGCCCTGCCTCCATTTATCTGTGACTCTTTTCTCTGCCTTCCCATGTAATACTGTCTACTAAAGACTAGCATGCTTTAAATTTTTTTATTTTATACGTTTAAGTTGTACAACATGATTTTCTATTTTTAATTTTTTCAGATACGTAATAGTTGTACATATTTATGGGGTACACGTGACATTTTGATACAAGCATACAATGGGTAACGATCGAATCTGGGTAATTGGGGTATCCATCACCTTAAGCCTTTATCATTTCTTTGTGTTGGTAACATTCCAAATCTATTCTTCTAGTTATTTTGAAATATACAATACATTATTGTTAACTATAGGCACCCTACTGTGCTGCCTAACACTAGATCTTATTTCTTCATCTAACTGTTACAACATGATGTTTTGATATATATAGTGAAGTGATTACTACAGTCAAGTAAATTGTCATATAGTTACTTTTCTTCCTTTCATTTTCTCTTTTCTTTTTTGATGGCAAGAGCACCTAAAATCTACCCTTTTGGCAAATTTCCAGTACACAATACAAGGTTATTAACTATAGTCCTCATGTTGTACATTAAATCTCTAGACCTATTTATCCTACATAACTGTAACTGTGTACTTTTTAACCTACATCTTCTCATTTCCCCCACATGTGGTAACCACTCTTCTACTCTGTTTCTATGAATTCCTCTTTTTAAAAAAAAAAAAAAGATTCTACATATAAGTGAGATCGTGTGATATTTTTCTTTCTGAGCATAGCTTACTGCACTTAGCATAATGTCCTCTGGGTTCATCCGTGTTGTGGAAAATGGCAGAATCTCCTTTTATAAGGCTGAATAATACTCCATTGTATATATATACCACATTTTCTTTATCCAGTCATCTGTTGATGGACACTGAGGTTGTTTCCATATCTTGGCTATTGGGAATAATGCTGGAATAAACATGGGAGTGCAGATATCTTTACAAGGTGCTGATTTCATTTCCTTTGAGCATATGCCCAGAAGAGAGTTCACTGGGTCATATGGTAGTTATAGTTTTAATTTCTTTAGGAATCTCCATACTGTTTTCCACAGTGGCTGTACCAATCTACATTCCCACCAACAGTGTACAAGGGTCTCTTTTTCTCCACACCCTCACCAACACTTGCTATCTCTTATCTTTTTGACAAAAGCCACCCTAACAGTAGGACTCACATTCTTTATGGAAGCAAAATGGGTGTAGAATTTTGTTTCCCCTGAAATCTCCTCTAATTGGACAAATTTAGCATTCATAAAATGAAGAGGAAGGGATTAAGGCCACCACTTGCTGGCAGAGGCAACCTCAAGGTCTACCACAATGACCCAGCCTCTGTTTTGGCTTAGGTTGATAATTGATGAACTTCTACTTGTGTACCAGACATATTGTTGATGAATAAACACAGTTCTTCCCAAAAGAAACTCACGATCTACTAGTCAATACATAGTTACTTTAAATATAATATTAAATGCTAATTGAAAGGTAGTCTAATAAACCCAGAGGAGGGTACTTAGCCTAACACAGAGTGTTGTAAAAGCTCCCTGTAAATATTTTACCTGCACTTGAAGGTATTTCCATTGGGACCTAAACTCCATATAGATACTCCATGAGGGTAAAGCCTGACTTCACAGTATCCACTAATCCCTGACGGTGACTGACTGTCATGCCAACCTAAATTCATTCCAGATGAAGCCTTTGCCCAATTGTATTTCATCCAGTTAGTGGTTTTCTTGTTTTCATTTTCAACTAGTTGTTTTTTCTCTTGTTCTCTTTCATTAACTCCTACCAGAGTAACAATCCTATCCTGCCCTCCTCCATTTGTTCTTACAGCTCCATCCTTTCCATCTACATGTGAAAACTTAATTTTCATTTTCCAAAATACAGAGACACAGTAGCACTTTTCTGAGCAAGTTGGCCGATGCTGGGAAGGTGAGAGCTGACATTTATTAGGCACCAGCTGTGTGCCTGGCACGAGAGTAACTTTTTTTGGCATTCATTTAATTCTCAAATAAGTCTGTGACCTAGATATAGTATCCCTGCTTTACAAATAAGGAAACTGAGCCCCAGAGAACGTATGCTACTCATAGAAAGTTGGAAATCTACACTCAAGGCCATCTGATTTCAAGGTTGTTCCAAAGCTATGCTTTCTTTGTTATCTTCATTCTTATGTGCAGCCATTTCAGTAATGGCTGCACATAAGAACCATCTGAAGGGTTAAAACACACACAACCAAGACTTTGGCCCCACTCCTAGAGATCCTACTTTAAATGAATGTGACCCAGGCATTAGAATTTTCCTTCAAAGACTTTTGGATGATTCTAATGAAAACCCAAGGTTAGAACAAATCATACTAGGATGTGCTGCCTCTCAAGCCGTATCAATAAATTTCATAAAACATAGCAGAGGCTGAACAGCACTTCAATCCTGACATCTAAAAATAGCAAATTGTGGCACCAACACACAGTATTAGAGGAACTCAAGGTAATTTCACCCAGCATCCTGGGCAAACAGTTTGCACTCGTGCAAACTGCTTATGTTAGACCTGGGCCCGAGATAGACTGCACAAATCAGATCCCAGAAGTCTGCTCTTGGCTTTGCTTCTGAGCTGTACATGGTGGCTGACTTCTTAGCACCCACCACAAATGCCCTGCCCTACATGCCCTTGACCCTGGATTCCACTTGCAGCTACCGTGGGAGCCCTGCAGATGCTCCTCACCTCAAGCAGCCGACCTTGTCTCTCTGCATCTCTGCCCAACAGCTTTCTCTAGCACCTTCAGAGCTGGCTTAGCCTGTGCTCTGGGTGTCCAGGAAGTGCCAGGGATTTATCAACGCCAGGGGCAGCCCTTAACCAAATGAAGGACCGAAGTCAGTGGCTAAATACCTCAGCTTCGTTGTCCTCAGTGAGACAATTAGCAGGCTGGTTCTCCTGAGCTGCCTTTCTCTACAGTTACAGTTACTCAGTAATTCACCCTTTTTTGGTGACTTCTTCCCTCGCCTGTGTAATGCTCCCCAGTCCCTCACTAGGCTGCCTGAGATCACCTCCCCTGGTTACTCCCTGTATCCAAATCCTAGTCTCAGTATCTAAGGATACTGAGGGGAACCAAACTAGGACAACCTCCAGGTGTCTCATTTTGACTTCAGATATAAATAAGCATTAAGCTAACAAAGACACCAATTTAAATATGAATAGTACTTTATCGCTTACTTTCACAAACACTATCATTTTGATAACTAATGAAGGATAACATCTTCTAACACCATTACAAGGGGGTTTCAGGATGGATGCAATGGGCTTTAATTTCTTGAGAGAAAAGCATACCATTATCATAATAAAGACAGGCATAGATTAATTTTTCCCTGTATGCATGTACTTGGCTGACTCCATTAGTGGGTTCTTCACAAGAAAAATGGTGTATTCAAGCAAATATTAGAAATAATTCTATTGTTTATACGGAGGATGCTTAAGCAATTAATGCAACATCAATGCTTTTTTTTTTCAAGTTTTACCGTGAATAGTCATTCGTACTTCATTATGTAAAATTATATATTAAAAATATGTGTTGTGGAAACATTTTTCACTGAGATAAAAATAATTTGACATGGGTCATAGGCTAGGGGTAATAGAGAAATTCAACATTTTTTTTCTGTCCTGCTACAATTTAAATAAAAGTGAGATAGAAAGGGGGAGATTATGGGAGTTGCACCATAAAAAGTAATATACTTTGACATTTCTTTGCAACATACAAAAGACTCTGCTAGATATTATAGCTTATAGCAGTCTTAGCTATAGGGAACTTTAAATAAAATTGACTGGCTCAAGGAAAGGATATTATTATTTTGAGAATAAGAATGAGCAAAAATGCACGGTTCTCTCGGAATCCAAATCCCTAACGAAATGGATAATCCTGCAGTAGAAGAATTTGATTGAAGCTATTATTGTCCCATCTGAGAGTCAGGGCTGGCCACCTTGCACGTTCCTTCACAGGAAGTAGGTCTCCTTCTTAGTACAATTGCAATCTTTTTTCTCTACGGTTTGAAACCTTTTACTGCTGGTTGGATTTCTATTACTCATATTTTAAGGAATTTAAAAGCACCTCTTTAAAAATAAGATTAGAAGTTTTACGTTTACATAGGAGGGTACTATATTAACCATGTAGTTAGGGTTCTTTTAGTTTTATATTTAATTTAATTGTACTTATACTTTTGTATTTACCTTTCAGGAAAATAAAAGCTGGACGGGTGCAGTGGCTCACACCTATAATCCCAGCACTTTGGGAGGCTGAGGCGGGTGGATCACCTGAGGTCAGGAGTTCCAGACCAGCCTGGCCAACATGGTGAAACCTTGTCTCTACTAAAAATACAAAAATTAGACAGGCAGTAGTGGCACGTGCCTATAGCCCCAGCTACTCAGGAGGCTGAGGCAGGAGAATCGCTTGAACCTGGGAGGCAGAGGTTGCAGTGAGCTGAGATCGTGCCAATGCACTCCAGCCTGGGCGACAGAGCGAGACTCCGTCTCAAAAAAATAAATAAATAAATAAATAAAAATTTTTAAAAAAAGGAAAAGAAGAGAAAAGCTATAAATATATATAATAAACATATATAATAATATATAGATTTTTTTACTTTTATATTTACTTTTCAAGAAAATAAAATGTCTGCACTATAACTATATATAATGAGCTACATAATTATATATATGTGTGTATATATATGTGTGTGTATATATAACTATATATAATGAGCTACATAATTATATATATGTGTGTGTATATATATGTGTGTGTGTATATCAAGGCTGCATAATGAGCCTTGATCTTCCAGAATTTTTTTCTCTTAATCCATTGGCCCTGGCCTTAATTAAACCACACAATTTCATTTCTCTGACGAAGTGGGGTGCAAAGCTGGATGTTTCCTGGTAGGGTGTGACAGTGAAAAGGGACAAATTGCTTCTGAGGGAAAAACAGGAAATAGTGCTGATCCTAATTCATGACTGAGGGAGGAGACAGGCCAGATACAGAAGCAACATCTGAAACATTCCTTGTGGCCACCCCTTCTAGACTCACTTAACAGAAGGGCCTGCAAACTGAAGAGGTGGTAATTTGGGGCCACTTGAAGAAATTTGAGGAGAAGGAAGCAGAGTCAAGGACAGTGGCCCATGCCTGTACTCTCAGCTTGAGCCCAGGAGTTCGAAGCTGTAGTGCACTATGGTTGTGCCTGTGAATAGCCACTGCACTTCAGCCTGCGCAACATAGCAAGACCCCATCTCTTTAAAAAAACAGAGAGAGAGAAGAAAGCAAGTATGTAGAATAAAAGACACTGGAAATCAGTGGACTCCCCCCTCAAAAAGAGGATGGATTTGCCAGTGAATGCATATTTGATGTTCTCAATATATTCCTCATTTCTAGAAAACACTAACAATTCCTGTTTTAGCCATCAGTCCACTTATACCAGGACATCCTGTGTAGGGATGGGGAGATTAGTGAGTTGGGCTTGGTCTATAATCTGCCATTTTTTCATTCCTGATAATAATAATGCTATGGGGATGTTCATGTTAGTTAAAACTGTAGTAGTGTTCCAGGTCATGATACGAATTACTACTGCAGGCTTAAAAATAGATTGCAAAAGGGTAGAATGTAAATGTATCTATAAATAAATTTACATGTAATTATATATATATATTTGGGACAAAACTTCAAATACATTCATATCTTTTTCGAGGCAGGTTTATAACTAAAAGAGGTGATTATTTGTTATTCAGCACTCCAAAAATCTATTTTTATTAGGAGTATTGCCCTCATCTATGCTTACTTTTGGTAACTTATCAAACACCAACATTCTGGCCTGGCAAGGTGTAATCTCAGCTACTCCAGAGGCTAAGGTGGGAGGATCACTTGAAGCCAGGAGTTCAAGACCAGCCTGAGCAACATAGGGAGACTCTGTCCCTACAAAAATTAAAACAAAACAAAATACCAACATTCTAGTCTGCAAGAAACTTGAAGAGAAAAAACAGGTTTGAAATGAATAGGACTGAGATTAATTGAGAAGGCAACTTTGGTGTTTCCTACCTGAGTACTGTCTGAGACTCAGCTTACTTATTTTAGAATCATCCAATAGCCTCATACTGACTTAAATGTTATGTGTGTCGCTCATGAAAATGTCATATTCTCCAGATATAGCACTTAAATAATTTTACCCTGGATTTTAGAAAGAACCCTGTTTTCCTCTTTGCTAGGATAGAAATAGGTTTTTGAAATATGAATTTGTGTTTTTGAAAAGTTTTAAATATTCAGAACTTACATTCAAACACTACCACATTACACAGAATACTTGTTTGTGTTTTCAAACACAAAATATTACTTTTAAATTATACCTGCTGTAACGTTTAGATGAATTTCCTTTCAACACTTGGAAATTATAATATGTTTGGATGTATTATTTATCAGCTCCCTTTCTCCTCCTGCTGTTTGCATGTTGAAGGAACAGTACAAGCCAAAAGATTTAAGTTGAAGTCATGCAAATGATATAAATGGTGGATATTGGAACTGGACAGGTTGTACAAATATTCCTGGGTCATTTTAAGCAGATTTTTTTCTGTGTCTGGCTAAGAATTAGATTCTTGGATATCAGCTAAAACTGTCAAAATTAAACTCAGTTGTGAAAATTCAATCCTTAGGAGGCATTCTTTAACTGAAAATCTATCAATATGATGCTAACAATTTAGGCACCCAGGGGAAATGTGATGAATAAGACTTTGCAAGAGCAGATTCAAATTTTCGAATGCATGTTTCCCTGTTGGAAACAAATCACTTTTATTACCTTTTTCATATTTTTCATTTGCAATTTGTGGACTCATAAATATTATACATAGTTAAAAATTGAATAGAATTCTATAATTTACTTTTTCATAAATATTTTAAAAAGAAATTGGCTTGTTCTTTGGTGCTCTCATGATATTGAAGATGAAAAATATTATATTAGCATTTTGATAGATTTTGAAGTTTTAAAAAATTTGTGACTCTAAAATAATGTAGTTTCTGACTTGGTTGGAACAGTTATAGGGGCAAAGGGAAAACTTCCCCTTTGCCCTCTGAAGGTTCACTGAAAAATCTACTCACAAAAGGCAGAGAAGGCATACAAATTTATTTAATAGGAGAGAAGGCATACAAATGCATTAACAGGTACAGGGGAGAATCACAGAGTGATTACACCAAATATCCCCATTGGGCCCTGATACTTATTTAGTTGTGTTTTTTTTTTTTTTTTCAGAGGGGAGGAGGGAGATGGGGAGTATAGGTAATTCTGTTGAGGGGCAATAAATGATTACTAGGAAGAATGAATGGATGGGGATCGGAGATTAACTTGTAAATGATTCTCTTCGGATATCTTGCGAAAGGGTTAGTTCAGGTGTAGTTAAATCTTCAGTCTTATTTTTTGCAATAGATAATGAGATAACAGGTAGGGGAAGAAAAAACAATTGTTCTCCTTGGAGAGTCTGTCTGGTTTTAGGGGAAAGTCTTCCAGTGTCTGTTGACCTTTAAGGACCTTTAATTCAAAATACTCATGATACTGTCAGAGGCAATCAAACCAGAGCAACTCCATCTTGAATAGGGGCTGGGTAAAATAAGGCTGTGACCTACTGGGCTGCATTCTCTGGAGGTCAGACCTTCTTAGTCACAGGATGAAGTAGGAAGTGGGCAGGACTGGTATCACAAGACACAGGTCATAAAGACCCCGCTGATAAAACAGGATGTGGTAAAGAAGCTGGCCAAAACCCACAAAAACTAAAATGGTGATGAAAGTGACCTCTAGTCATCCTCACTGTTCATTGTATGCCAATAGTAATACGTTAGCATGCTAAAAGACACTCCCACGGGTACCATGACAGTTTACAAATGCCATGGCAACATTCAAAATTACCCTCTATGGTCTAAAAAGGGGAGGTATCTGTTGCAAGTGAGCAGCAACTACCTGGAGCTGGTGGTGCTGGGGTAAGAAGAATTTACCAAGACAGTTGTACGTAAAGAAAGGCAGATTTGTTAAAGAAAGTAGGAAAATACGTTGCAAGGTGGCAACAGGAAGACAGCAAGAGAGGAGCTGACTACAAAGAGACTAAGGCTTGCTGGGGATTTTACAGAATGGTACTGTGCTGTGTACTGAAGAGGGCTTTGTGCACTACTGATAACACCAAGGTTGCAGTGAGCTAACTTGCAGGTGTCTGGTGACAAGTTGGGCACAGGAGGGCTACATGTCTGGGACCATGAAGAAATGCAGACTTATAGCTTATCTGCTTTCTCTTTTTGCTTTCCCTTGGTCCTGCCAGCCCAACTCCCTCTCCTTAATTAGGACTCCACAGGACCCTCAGTTCTGGGAAATCTCCACCCCTTTCCTGGAAAACTCATGAATAATTCACCCCTTGTTTAGCATATAATCAAGAAATAATTGTAAGTATACTCAGTAGAGCAGCCCATACTGCTGCTCTGACTATGGAGTAGCCATTCTTTTATTCCTTTACTTTCTTAATAAAGTTGCTTTCACTTGACTCTATGGATTCACCCCGAACTCTTTCTTACAATCATTAATTGAATTACATACGGCATGGGGGTCGGGGGACAGGTTGGCAGGTAGAGTTCTTAGCAAAATCTGCTCCTACGAGTGGAGGAGAGATATCAGTACATCAAGCAAAATGTTTGGTAACCAGTGGCTTTTGAGTTTGCTGATTTAGAAGAAGACATATTGCTCAAATTTTAGCATTCATCTGTTAAGGATGTTGGAAATAAATCCAAGCACTTTTATTGCATTCCGTGCTTTATTACTAGTGGGGTAGCCTCTGAGCTCTTGTTAAGAGCATTAGTAGCAATTTTCATGTTGATTTTTCTTAAGCAGATGCTTATTTTTTCTAGTTCTTTGTTACTCTTTGAAGGAAGAACCAAATCCTTAAAATTAATCTCCAATTCATGCGTATATTAGTATTTCAACTGGCCTAGAAAACCTCAGAGTTTTTTCCACAGGTGACCCATCTTACATACTCTGAACTTAATGCTGTTGAGGTATTCAGACACACTTGCAAAAGAAAAGAGAAAAGAAAAAAGAAAGAAATCACAAATAAATGTCATCTGGTTAGGTTTTATTCATCTTTCTGGCTTGCTGCAATCTTTCAAATCCTGATTCTCAAATTGGTATTCCTTTCATTCTAGTGTCATCTGAAAATTTGATCAGTTTGCCATCTCAAAAAAAATGGGCGGTCTGCTGGACCACCCTGTGCCTCTCCTCAGGGAGCCTAGCAACAGGCTGTCTCCTAGAAATGACTGCAAGATTTTCAGCCAAGAGTCGTGGTTGCTATATGCAAATTTCAGATGGCTCACATACAGCATTAGGATGATCCTCACCTAGGCAAGGCCATTCCATTACCCATTAACCCATGTCCTTCTAATACCTAATGACACATTCCCAGTCAGGTGTCCTTTACCCTCTCCCAACTTCTGTATCAGTACTGGGGTGCAGAGTCCTTCTCCTGGAGCCAAGCCTTGGTGCTTCCAACCATACCCAGCCTCAAAACACTTATGTATAGAAAGAGAAGAGTTTAGGTAGGGGGAGGGGTGGCACAAGTATGTATGACATTGTCTGCCATATATTTCATTGACACTATACCTCTAAGCTTCCTCAGCCAATCTGCTTTACCCCTGCATTATGTGCTGTGTATAGTATTTGTCCTTGCCCCAGGATGTAATAGCTGGCACTCAATGTGGGGCAAATACCACTTGACCTAATGCTATAGGTGTTTCTGTGTTTTCCAAAGACAGAAGGGTTCACTTGGGGGTGGGATATGTCTTCCCTGGGGTTGTTGTTGACAAGTCACCTGGCTGAGTTGGAATGACCAGTGACTAGGTGGTCACAAGGCTTATGCCCAAAGACTGCAGAAGCCCTGGAGCAAGCTATTTGCAATGAAAGAAAAATGTCAGACAATAAAGATGTCCATAATTTCATTCCTTTCCAGGTAAGAATGCTGAGCAACTCCTCAGAAGTTTGGAGAGCCTTTCAAGTCCTAAAGATGACAAAGATGTGGTAAGCAGATTAATGCCCCCCACCAAAGATGCCTATGTCTGTCCTAATCCCTAGAACCTGTGAATATGTTACTGATATGATGTGGCTGTGTCCCCACCTAAATTTCATCTTGAATTGTAGTTCCCATAATCCCCACATGTCATGGAGGTACCCAGAGGGAGGTAATTGAATCTTGGGGGCACTTACCCCCATGCTGCTGTTCTCATGATAGTGAGTGAGTTCTCGAAAGAGCTGATGGTTTTATAAGGGGCTTCCCCCTCCCCCAACTTCGTTCTGCTTCTTGCTGCTGCCATGTGAAGAAGGACATGATTGCTTTCCCTTCCGCCACATTCGTAAGTTTCCTGAGGCCTCCCTAGCCCTGCAAACTGTGAGTCAATTAAACCTCTTTCCTTTATAAATTACCCAGCCTTGGGTATGTCTTTATTAGCAGCATGAGAACAGAACCCAGTCTTGGGTATGTCTTTATTAGCAGCATGAGAACAGACTAATACAGTAAATTGGTACTGGGTATTGGGGTGCTGCTATAAAGATACCTGAAAATGTGGAAGTGACTTTGGAACTGGGTAACCGGCAGAAGTTGGAACAGTTTGGAAGGCTCAGAAGAAGATAGGAAAATATGGGAAAGTTTGGAAGTTCCTAGAGACTTGTTGAATGGTTTTGACCAAAATGCTGACAGTGATATGAACAATAAGGTCCAGGGCAAGGTGGTCTCACATGGAGATGATGAACTTATTGGGAAGTGGACCAAAGGTGATTCTTGCTATGCTTTAACAAAGAGACTGGCAGCATTTTGCCCCTGCCCTAGAGATCTGTGGAACCTTAAGAGAGATGATTTAGGGTATCTGGTGGAAAAAATTTTGAAGCAGCAAAGTGTTTAAGATATGACTTGGGTGCTCTTAAAAGCATTCAGTTTTATTCATTTACCAAGATATGGTTTGGAATTGAAACTTATGTTTAAAAGGGAAGCAGAGCATAAAAGTTCAGAAAATCTGCAGCTTGAAGATGTGATGGAAAAGAAAAATCTGTTTTCTGATGAGAAATTCAAGCTGACTGCATAAATTTGCATAAGGAATGAGGAGCCAAATGTTAATCACCAAGACAATTAGGAAAAATTGAAAACATTTCAAGGTCAGAGACCTTCACAGCAGCCCCTCCCATGACAGCCCTGGAGACCTAGGAGGGAAAATTGGTTTCCTGGGCCAGGTCCAGGACCTTCTTGCTGTGTGCAGCCTATGGACTTGGTGCTCTGTGTCCCAGCCTCTGCAGCTGTGGCTAAAAAGGGCCACGGTACAGCTTGGGCCATGGCTTCAGAGGGTGCAAGCCCCGAGCCTTGGCAGCTTCCATGTGGTATTGGGCCTGTGGGTGCATGGAAGTCAAGAATTGAGGTTTGGGAACTTCCACCTAGATTTCAGAGGATGTATGGAAATGCCTGGATGTCCAGGCAGAAGTTTTCTGCAAGGGCAGGGCCTTCATGGAGAACCTCTGTTAGGCCAGTGCAAAAGGGAAATGTAGGGTGAGAGACCCCACACAGAGTCCCCACTGGAACATTGCCTAGTGGAGCTGTGAAAAGAGGGCCACCATCCTCCAGACCTCAGAATGGTAGATCCACCAACAGCTTGCATTGTGCGCCTGGAAAAGCCACAGACACTCAAGGCCAGCCTGTGAAAGAAGCCAGGAGGGAGACTGTACCCTGCAAAGCCAGAAGGGTGGAGGTGCCCAAGACCATGGGAACCCACCTCTTGCATCAGCATGACCTGGATGTGAGACATGGAGTCAAAGGAGATCATTTCAAAGCTTCAAGATTTGATTCCCCTGCTGGATTTCAGACTTGCATGGGGCCTGTACCCCTTTATGTTGGCCAATTTCTCCCATTTGGAACGAGTTATTTACCCAATGCCTGTACCCCCATTGTATTGAGGAAATAACTAACTTGTTTTGATTTTACAGGATCATAGGCAGAATGGACTTGCCTTGTCTCAGATGAGACTTTGAACTTGGACTTTTGGGTTAATACTGGAATGAGTTAAGACTTTGGAGGATTGTGGAAAGGCATGATTGTGTTTTGAAATGTGAGTACATGAGATTTGGGAGGGGCCAAGGGCAGAATGATATGGTTTGGCTATGTCCCCACCCAAATCTCATCTTGAATTGTAGTTCCCATAATGCCCACGTGTCATGGGAGGGACCTGGTGAGAGGTAATTGAATCTTGTGGGCAGTTACCCCCATGCTGCTATTCTCATGGCAGTGAGTGAGTTCTTACAAGATCTGATGGTTTTATAAGGGGCTACCCCACCTTTGCTCTGCACTTCTCCTTGCTGCCACCACGTCTATTAGTCCATTTTCATGCTGCTGATAAAGACATACCTGAGATTGGGTAATTTATTAAGAAAAGAGGTTTAAAGGACGCACAGTTCCATGTGGCTGGGGAGGCCTCACAATCATGGTGGAAGGCGAAAGGCACATCTTAGATGACAGCAGACAAGAGAGAGAATGAGAACCAAGTGAAAGGGGTTTCCCCTTATAAAATCATCAGATGTCATGAGACTCATTCACTACCACAAGAACAGTATGGGGAAAACTGCCTCATGATTCATTTATCTCCCACTGGGTCCCTCCCACAACACATGGGAATTATGGGAGCTACAATTCAAGATGAGATTTGGTTGGGGACACAGCCAAACCATATCACCATGTAAAGAAGGATGTGTTTGCTTCCTCTTCTGCCATGATTGTAAGTTTCCTGAGGCCTCACCAGCCATGCTGAACTGTGAGTCAATTAAACCTCTTTCCTTTGTAAATTACCCAGTCGTGGTTATGTCTTTATTAACAGCATGAAAATTGACTAATACAGTTACCTTACACAGCAAAGAGGAGTTAAAGCTGCTAATCAGCTGACTTGAAGACAGGGAGATTGTCCCCAATTACTGGGTGAGCCTGATGTCATCACAAGGGTTCTTTAAAATAGAAGAAAGAGGGCCAGGCATGGTGTTGCATGCCTGCAGTTCCAGCTACTTGGGAGGCTGAGGCTGGAGAATCACTTGAGCCCAGGAGTTCAAGACTAGCATGAGCAACATAGGGAGACCTCATTTCTTTTAAAAACTTTTCTTTTTAAAGTTAACCAGGCATGGTGGCATGCCTGTAGTCCCAGCTACTTGGGAGGCTGAGGCAGGATGATTGCTTGAGTCCAGGACTTTGAGGCTGCAGTGAGCTGTGGTCATACCACTGCGCTTCAGCCTGGGTGACAGAGCAAGAGTGAGATCCTGTCTCTAAAAAAAAATTTTTTTTAAGTGAAAGGAGGACAAAGAGTTAGAATGTGTAGGAAAACCACATAGACATAGCCAAGGGAAGAGTGTGTGCAGAGGCTAACACCTCGTGTTCTGTCTGGTCATCACCCCAGACCAAGTCAAGCAGTTCCTACAAGGCTCCTGGGAAAGCAGCCAAGTGGCTCCTGATCGCCTCTTGGGATTTTGTTTCAGGACTCCTTACTCATACATGCATCAAGGGAGCTCTGCAGAGCTGCACAGTTGGTTCTGCGTTACTTTTTGTAGCCTACCTATTCATACAGTGTCTTTTCTAATCTCTGATTTCACTGTAGAAACCCCACTTAAGGTCCAGTTAACTTCTGCCCCTGAAAGGAAGCTTGTGCTTAATGCCCCTGGAAGAAGGTCTGCCAGCTCTTCAGGCCGAATGGATGCTGGGAAGCCAACTCTCCTGGCAGGCTTCCGACAGCAAGATGTTCCTCTAACCAAGAGGCCCTTCTTCCTCTGACTGACTGCCCAAGGCCTTCACAATTCCCAGTGTTACATGATAGATAGAGTGCTCCCTGCCCCTTCCAACTTCTCCATGAATATGTACAGTAGCAGCTTAGTAAGAATGCTAAAACTATAAAACTCTTAGAAAAAATACCTAGGGGTAAATCTTCATAACTCTGGATTTGGCAGTGGATTCTTAGACATGACACCAAAAGCATAAGCAATATAAGAAAAAAAATAGATATACTGGACTTCATCAAAATTAAAAACTTTTGTGAATTAAAGGACATTATGAAGAAAGTGAAAAAACCTACAGAATGGGAAAAATATTTTCAAATTGTATATCTGATAAAGTTCTAATATCAAAAATATAAAAATAACTCTTACAATCTAAAAACAAAAAGACCAACAACCCAATTAAAAATTTACAAAAAAACTTGAACAGATATTTCTCCAAAGAAGATAAAGAAATGACCAACAAGCATATAAAAAGATGTTCAACATCATCAGTTATTAGGGAAAGGCAAATCAAATCCATTATGAGATACCATTTCACATCAACTAGGATAGCTATAAAAAAAAAAAACCCGAAAAAACAAAAAACAGAAAATAACAAGTGTTGTTGAAGATGCAGAGAAATTGGAGCCCTCATACACTGCTAGTGGGAATGTAAAATGGTGTCACTGCTTTGGAAAACAGTTTGTCATTTCTTCAAAAGGCTAAACATAGAATTACCATATGACCCAGCAATTCCACTCCTAGGTATATACCCAAAATATATAAAAACAGATGTTCAAATAAAAATGTGTATACAGATGTTCATAGCAGTACTATTCATTCACAACAGCCAAAAGGTGGAAACAACCTAAATGTCCATCAACAAGTGAATGGATAACAAAATATGGTCTATCCATAAAATGGAAAATTATTCATCCATAAAAAAGAAGAAAGTACTGCTATAGGCTACATCATGGATGAATTTTGAAAATAATTTGCTCAGTGGAAGAAGCCAGACAAAAAAGGTCAGATAATGTATGATTCTATTTATATAAAAAGAATATAAAGAGAATTTATATTTGTCCAGAATAAGCAAATTCATAGAGAAAGAAAGCAGATGGGTGGTTTCCAGGGGCTGGAGAAAGCGGGGAATGGGGAGGTACTATTAATAGGTATAGAGTTTCCTTTTGGGGTGATGAAAAATTCTGGAACTAGATAGTGGTGATGGTTGTACAATGATGTGAATGTACTTAATGCCACTGCACTGTATATCTTAAAAAAAATTTAAATGGTTAATTTAATGTTATGCATATTTTACCACAATAAAAAATAAGAATGGGAAAAAAGAACAAAGCCATCTAACAGGGATCATGCAGAGCATGCCTGTCCATCCTGTCCACAAGGATACCAAGTCCTTGCCAAATGCGTTGGAGAAAACTGCACACTGTTTGTACCACATTACTTTGATCAACAAGCCTAACATCATCAGTGAAGGTAGAAGTAAAAGCAAATCTGATGATCAGACATGATGTTCTTTGAGACCCCTCTGTCCTCCTTCCACAGCTCACTACTTTCCTGTGTGGGTGCTTGCAAATCATTCTTTGAATATTGTAATCCATTACCTGGGAATAACATCAAGTATGCTAGACTGTTATGTCTGATATTGTCTCCTTTTTCAGAATCACGACTCATCTCCTCCATTTCTCTGGTGTTTCTCCTACTTTCCAACTATAGGCATTAAGGGTCTCATTTGTAAGTTTTCTCTGATTGTTTATCATATTCACTGGGGCCCAAACCCATACTAACAGCCAACAGGTGCTGCATCTTTCATCTGTGTTTTTTTCTCCTTTGTTTCTTTTTTATTTTTATTTTTTGTAGAGATGATGTCTTACTATGTTGCCCAAGCTGGTCTTGAACTCCTGGGCTCAAATAACCCTCCTGCCTCAGCCTGCCACACCCAGCCTTTCTTCTTTGTTTCTGATCTCACTTCCCACCACCCTCCTCTTTGCTTGCTCTACTCTAGCCATACTAGTTTCCTTCCGATTCCTTACATCAAATATGCCATGCTTCCTCCTGCTAAGCACTCTGTTCACTCTGCCCGGAAACCTTATCCCCCACATTTTACCTGGTTCATTTCCTCACTTTCTTCAGATCTGTGCTAAAATATCACTTTGCCAGAGAGGCCTTCCCTGACCACTCTATTCAAAATAGCAACCCCCACAGCCCCTCTCTGGCATCTCTCTCGCTTGAGATTTATTTATCACCTCCTGACCTATTTATTTATCTACTTATTGTGTGACTTCTGCGGTTACTCCCTTCATCTTACCTCTTGGCACTTTTCACTACCTGACACATTTATGGGTTTATTGTTGGTTTGTCTGGCACCCCTGCCATGTCACAGGTGCTCAGTAATTATTTATGCGATAAATCAAGGTTGGGCTTCAACTTTCCCCTTACCCATGCAGTCAATCAGCTAAGAATTATTGAGCAATCTTTATTTTCCAGGAACTGCATTAGGTTTCTGAGATGCAGAGAATAAAAATACATGGTCCCTGTTTGTAAAGAGCCTCCAGATTAGTAGGAGTGGATGGACAACCATTTGTCATAGGAGGGGCTATGATGTGGGGAATATCAAGGAGGCCTCACTGAAGGGTTGAAAAGGACTGAGATGTTTCTGAAGGCCAAGGAAGGGCTCCACAGGCATTCACAGTCACTGAGGTGTAAGAAAACATAGCTTGTTCAGGGAACTTCAATATTCTGAGGCCGGAGACCCAGATGCACAGCACAGAAGGGTGGCACTTATCATCACTTGATTATTTGTTTATCTGTTTATCTATCCCCCACTCTCTTTCCCCTTACCTCTCTGACTTATCATGCTCTGAGCAAGCCCCAAGAGCCTGACCCTCAGCTGAGCACAGTGGCTCACCCCTGTAATCCCAGCACTTCAGGAGGCTGAGGCTAGAGGATCCTTGAGTCCAGGAGTTCAAGGCCAGCCTGGACAACATAGGTAGACCCTGTCTCTACAAAAAATAAAAAAATTAGCTGGACATGGTGGCGCACACTTGTAGCCGCAGCTACTCAGGAGGCTGAGGTGAAGGGATCACTTGAGCCCAGGAGATCAAGGCTGCAGTGAGCCGTGATATCACTACTGCACTCTAGCCTGGGTGACAGAACAAGTCCCCGTGTCAAAAAAATAAAAATTTTAAAAAGCCTGACCCTGAAGGGCCACTAATTGGAATTTGATACCCACAGGTGATGGAGTATGTGGTCAAGAAGACAAAAAGGGGGAAAACAAGGCAGGGAGCTCAGCAGCTATGCCGTTTGTACAAAGCCTTCATTATTTCTGCTTGCAGATGGCCACAGTACTTAAGAAAGCTGCCAAGTCAGATTAAAATCAATCAAGAATGTAGAATATGGGTCTTAAGTTCAACAGACAGAACTACTGGTGAGAGAGTTGTTGCCATACAAAGGCCTCCCTGTTTCAGCGTAGGTTGGAGTAGAGCAATGTTCAGGGAAAGGCTGGCTAACCACCCCAGCATGTAATTGAGTCTGTTCTTTTCTCTGTTCTACTAATGATTCATTAAACAGAGTGTACCGCTCACTGCGATCCAGATTCATGACTTCAAATCAAACAGAGGAAGCCAATTTCTGCAAAGTATGAGAAAGAAATAGTCAGTGCCTTCGGCTCAGTTAGGGCAGGCTACAGAAGCAGGAACCCTGCAATTGCTTTTTTCTGGTTAACATGTTTTAAAAAATCTATAGCTTCAGACCTACACTGAGGATAGGTAGTAGAAAAAAGTCTAGGCTACTGACAAACACATCCCTTGGACTTGGTTACCATTGTGACAAACTTTTTAAACAAGCCTATAAATAAATATGAAGTTAAGACATTTTAGCTGTAGTTAAATGGTTAGGTTAGAGAAAGAAATGAAAAATTGACGCTAAATATTTTATTTTATTTTTGAGACGAGGTCTCTCACTCTGTCGCCCAGGCTGGAGTGCAGTGACGTGATCTCAGCTCACTGCAACCTCTCCCTTTCGGGTTCAAGCGATTCTCCTGCCTCAGCCTCCCTAGTAGCTGGGATTACAGGAGTACACCACTAGGCCTGGCTAATTTCTTGTATTTTTTGGTAGAGACAGGTTTCACTGTGTTGGCCAGGCTGGTCTCAAACTCCTGGCCTCACATAATCTGCCCACCTTGGTCTCTCAAAGTGCTGGGATTACAGGCGTGAGTCACTGCACCCAGCCGAGCACTAAATATTTTAAATATAAATATTACAGTCTTAAGAAATTAAATTTCTGATACAAAATTAGCTGGGCATGGTGGCACGTGTCTGTAATCCCAGCTACTTGGGAGGCTGAGGCAGGAGAATCACTTGAACCTGGGAGGTGGTGGTTGCAGTGAGCCGAGATTGTGCCACTGCACTCCAGCCTGAGTGACAGAGCAAAACTCCGTCTCGAAAAAAAAGAAATTAAATTTCTGTTACTTTAAGGAGAGCCGAGAATTGTTGGGAAGTTACTGTGTGTTAATACTAATATTCACATTCCACTGTGTCACTGCATACCTACTACGTACTAAGCATCATGATGGGTCCTTGGCATACTTTATTTCATCTTCAAAATAACTTTCTCAAACATATAGATAATATTGACCTAATTTAATAGATGAGGAAACTGAGGTTCTGAGAGATTAAGCAAGCTAAGGTATGAGAAAAAGCCAAGATTTTAAGCCTGGGTCTGCCTGACTTGGAGGGCATACTGTTTTGTGTGGTGCCCTGAAAAGCTCTTTCTGGCTTTTGTGACAAATACCAAGTACCTTCCTAAACAAAGCCCTGTTGCAGAAAGAACAATTGAAAAATTAAATTAGAAAAGTATATTTACTTACTGTGAATTTGCAGTGATGGAAATCACAGTGAGGAGTTACAGTTTCTAAAGGAGTTGTGAAAAGACATGATTCTCCACTCTTACATTGGGAGATACCCACAAGCACAAAAGAAGCAGTGGAAGGAAAGACTTTTATTTAAGAGGAAGAAAACTGCCTCAATTCAAGGTTAAATCATGAATAGAAAATAGGTATAAAATAGCAAAGCGGCCAGGCACGGTGGCTCACATCTGTAATCCTAGCACTTTGGGAGGCTGAGGCAGGCAGATCACTCAAGCCCAGTAGTTCAAGACCAGCTTGGGCAACATGGCAAGACCTCATCTCTACAAAAAATACACAAATTAGCAGGGCATGGTGGCATGCGCCTGTAGTCCCAGCTACTCGGGAGGCTGAAGCAGGAGGATCGTGGAGGCTGCAGTGAGCCATGATCATGCCACTGCACCCAAGCCTCGGTGACAGAGCGAGACCCTGTCTCATAAATAAGTAAATAAATAAAATAAGAAGGCATCTTCATGAGAAACACAGAAAAGCCTCAAGAAAAGAGCCCCTTCATTGAGTGCTTGTGTGTTAGGTGCTTTGGGGCAATTCAAGGGAAATTCTAGACATTGGTCTCGCCCATCGTACCTGACTGTTCCTAGACTTCTGACATAACTCATGAAACACTTCATTTCTGTTAAGAGTGGAAGCACACACATGTGCGCGCACACACACACACACACACACACACACACACACACACCAAAGCAATAGCAGGTCCGAATTGGGCTTTTGGGGATCACCAAACTGAAAGGATCCTTAAGTTTCTGACTGTCCAGCCCTTCCTTGGACATCTCCAACAACTAGGAGATCACCTACTTCAATTCCAGACTCCTATTTTTACATAGTACTTATTTATATTTTATCTGAAATCTATCACCCTGTAACTTTCATCCATTGATCTTTGTTTTCCTCTTGGAACGAAGCAGAATTCTCTCTTATATCTCATCTCTTTAAATGCTGTAAGAGAGTCATCTTTTTGCCCCTAAATATTTTATTTCCTGAGCTAACTATTCTCATTCATGTTGGCTGTTGTTCATATATCATGATTTATAGCACTATATGATATGACTCCTATGAGGGAGTTGAAATTGGTCTATGTCTTTCATGAAATACGTTCCCCAGAATTGAACATAATAAATAAAAGTATAGTAAAGATTGATTATCAAAGCATAGAACAGTCAGAATACTATATTTCTTCTTTTTTTTTTCTTTGATACCAGGTCTCGCTGTGTCATCCAGGCTGGAGTGCAGTAGCATGATCACAGCTCACTGCAGCCTCAACCTCCAGCTCAATTCCCCAAGCAGCTGAGACTACGGGCATGTGCCACCATGCCCAGCTAATTTTTGTATTTTTTGTAGAAACAGTGTTTCACCATGTTGCCCAGGCTGGTCTCAAACTCCTGAGCTCAAGCGATCCACCCGCCTTGGCCTCCCAAAGTGCTAGGATTTCAGGTGTGCACCACTGTGCCCAGCCTATATTTCTATTTAAACAGCCCAGAAATCCTTTGGTCCCCCTGCCGCTACACACACACTTGGTTTTGCAGTCTCATCATGCCCTTGGCTCTTACTGGATTCAGGGCACTAAAATCTTTGTCTTTTTATCCACATGCTGCTATTTAGCAAGTTCTCCCTACAGCCTTAACTTTAGTTCCAAGGGTAGAACACTAAAACGTGTCCTATTTAAATTTCATTTTAATAGACATGGCCATTTATGCATGTATTTATGCATTTATCTCCTGCCTTATTTCAAAAGATACTAGGTGACTGATACATCATTCCTGGGCCAATGCCAGGTTGGATCTTGCTCTGTCATCTGATTTATTCACACTCCCTCCCAGCTTCTTGTTCTCCATACACTGATAACCAGGGCTGTTCAGTCCATATCTAGATTGCTTAAAGAGGTGTTGAAAAAGACCACGCTAGGAAAACAGCCCTGTTCAATACAGACCTTTGACAAAATTTGCTAGATTTGACAAAGATAGATCCATTAATCGGCATTCTCGTCATGGAGTGGTTATGCTGCCAAGCTATCTTATCATCCATCCAGTTTCCCCACCTTTTTCACAAGGATGCCATGAAAGAATGAAAAATGTCTTGCAGAAATACAGAAACTCTATGTCCATAGGATTCCTTTGATATACTAGTCTAATAAACATATCACGAAATAAACCAAGACCTGTCTGTCATGCTGTTTTTTCTTAGTAAATTCATGTTGTTGCTTTTTAAGCATCACCTCTTTTCTCTCTGGAAGTTCAGACACCACCCATTTGATATTCTTAAGAGAGAATTAACATTGAAATTCACAGTTAACATCTGTATCATTGACCTTCTCCTCACCTCACTTCTTTCTTTTTTTTTTTTTTTTTAAGAGAAAGGGTCTCACTCTGTTGCCCAGGCTGGAGTACAGTGGCATGATCACGGCTCACTGCAGCCTCGACCTCCCAGGCGCAAGTGGCCCTCCTGCCTGAGCCTCCCAAGTAGCTGCGGCCACAGGTGTGTGTCAACATGCCTAGCTAATTTTTTATTTTTGTAGAGATGGGGATCTCCCTATGTTGCCCAAGCTGGTGTTGAACTCCTGGCCTCAAGGAATTCAACCTCCCACCTTGGCCTCCCAAAGTGCTGGGATTCCAGACGTGAGCTACTATGGCTAGCCTTCTTTCCCTTTTTGAAAACCAAGACACTTATCCATCTCCTGTCTTCAGGAAGTGCTTCTATTTCCCATAGATTGTAAATATTTTACAGACATCTTTTGCAAATTGCTTTTGTATTCTCAGATATTATTTGTCCAAACTGGAAGACTCACATCTTTTTAGTTTGCTTTGTTGGAATCGGAGTGATGGTAGTAGGGGGAGAGAACAGTTTCTCCAAAGAATGTGGGTACTGTTTTCAAAAGGAGTGAGGGAAAATAGGTAAACAAAACAGATTCCATTGCAGCAGTGAACCTTCAAATTCAGATGCCCTTCAGCAAGGCTCGGTTCTCTCTATCTAGTCTTTCTTGCATTACCGTTACAGGTCTATGCTGTTCTCGTGGTTTGAAGTCTTTGATTGCTATCTTCCTCCTCCCAGGTTCTTATGTATCTTTTATAATCTGAGCTCCTCAGAGAGCCTCAGGCCCTCTTAGCAGCAAATTTAGTCTCTTGGATTACTTCCTCGATGCTACGGACTTAATATTCATGTCCCCACCCGCCAAATTCAGATGTTGAAACCTTAATCCCCAATGTGATGATATTTGGAGATGGGGGCTTTTAGATGTCATTAGGTCCTGAGGGTGGAGCCCTCATGATGAAATAAGTTCTCTTATAAGAGGAGGCTCAAGAGAGCCAGCTTGTCCTCCTTTTATCTCTCCATCTTATGAAGACACAGTGAGAAGATGGCCGTCTACAAACCACTAACAGAGTCGTCATCAGACACTGACTCTACCAGCACCTTGATGTTGAAATCCACAGACTCCAAAACTGTGAGAAATAAATATTTGTTATTTAAGCCACCCAGTCGGTGGTATTCTATTACAGCCATTCAAACTGACTAAGAAACTCCACTATTATTATTTAAAGGCTTCAATTCCTCCATATAGACAACATGCCCTTATGCTAGTTTGTAATTGACATTTCCTGGAGGTAAATGTATTCATTCAGTTTTGTTGCTTTTAGTAGGCCCTGATCCCATTTCCACGGTTTCTGTTACCAGCGTGGTTGAAAATTAGTCAGAGACCAGAGAAGATGAAGCCATTGTGGGCTTCCAAGGCCAATAGGCTAGGAAATAAATTATTCCATTATCAGGATGAAAATGGAATCCTCACATTAGCCTTCCTGATTGCTTGCTTACCTTGTTTTTATACTTTCTAAGTGAACAGGAACAAAGCCACTTGCTGCTGTTCTCATTAACACTAATGATCAATAAGTAGAATTTTTTTTTTTTTTTGCTGATTCTTATATTTTGTTCAACATTATGTATGCTTAATTTAGAGCTTATTAGGGCACTGCCAGTCTTGCTCATTATCTCCTCCACAAGATGAATGTGTTTCTTGGGCAAGTAGTTAACATGAAGCAACAATGACTGACTCCGTTTTTGTAATTAAGCAAGGCTTTCAGTTATATTTGTTGGGGGAAGGGAGGAAATAAGCAAGAATTAGCATTTAATATTGACATATTTTAGATACTCGCAAGAGAAAGGAGTACTTAAAACAATTTCGGCACTGAATATTAATGACCAGAGCTGACTTGGTGTCCAAGGGAAATGTTTGGCCTTGTATCTTCCCCTAAGCTCCTTTGAGGTTCTTTCCATCCTTTAAAATCATGCTTTGAAATGAAATACTGATACATGCTACAACAACATGGATAAACCTTAAAAACCTTATATGAAGTGGAAGAAGCCAGGCACAACGGACCACATATTGCATGATTCCATTTGTGTGGAATGGCTGGAACAGGCAAATCCATAGATGGGAAACAGATTAGTGGTTGCCAGGGATTAGGGGGAATAGGGAGATTGCGGGGTGATGGCTAAGGGGTATGGAATTTATTTTTGCGGCGATGAAAATGTTCTGAAATTAATTGTGGTGATGAATACACAACTGCGTATACTAAAAGCCATTGAATTGTATGCTATAAATGGGTGAATTGTGTGGTGTGTGAATTACACCTCAATATAAAGCTGTTTTTAAAAATCAAACTCTACTCTTCCTGTTACCATCATATATTCTCCTTCTTTGGAATCTTTAGAAACTGGATCACTGTTGCCTTTTCTATCAGGTCCTATTACTATCCTAAATGACTTTGACATCCATATGGATGAGCCACCACTCAATGCCCCAGTGAGTCCTTTCCTTGGTCTTTGCTTCTCCAGTGACTTTCACCTCCTTTCCACTTGGCCACCCACTCCACCCTTGTTTGTTGCAAGCCTCACCTGACTCCCTCACTCTCTCTACAACAGAAACAATGCATTCTCATCTCTCTCTCAGAACACAGCCTCCAATACTTCCAGATGTCTCACTGAATTGCTCTAACTATAATCTGGACTTTGAAGGCACAGTCTTCCTCTTCCTCAACTCCATTACATTCTCTCTTTCTGCTCCATCAGCATCCACAACCTCCTTCCCTGCGCTGAAACTCCTCAATTTCATTTTTACTGCTTTCCTTGCCTGGCTTGAATTCCATGGTTCGTCACTTCAGTCTCTCATGCTTCCATCTCAGTCATCTGGCAAATCTCAACTCTATCAATGAGACTAATTATACAGTGACTCTGTCACAGATTTCATCTCAACTGTACTCTCAGTTATCCTTCCATATTGCTCCAGAAGCCTCTCTCCAGTTCTCCAAGGTTTCTAGTAGAAACCTGCTCCATACTTCTCAACCCATCTGTACTTCCACCTCCCTCTTCATGCCCAGCGGATATTTTTTATTTTTATTTTTTTTTGAGATGGGGTTTCACTCTGCTGGAGTACAGTGGTGTGACTGCAGCCTCGAACTCAGGTGATTCTTAGGTGATCCTCCCACTTCAGCTTCCCAAGTAGCTGGGACTACGGGTGCATACCACAACAACGGCTAATTACTGTATTTTTTAAATACAGATGGGGTCTTGTTATGTTGCCCAGGCTAGGCTCAAGCCATCCTCTTGCCTCGGCCTCCCAAAATGCTGAGATTACAGGAGTGAGCCACCATGCCCGACCTGTATATACATTTACAGCAAGTTTAGTTGACATTTCCCCTTACTCAGGCAAGGCTGTCATCTAGACCCTAGAGACAGGACTGCTAGCATAAGAATAAAGGGTCAGCATTTGAATACATTTGGGGGACATGCTATGCTATAAGTAAACTACATGCCTACATACATCCTTTCTTCCTCCCCTACCATTCATTGTTCTGAGCAAAATGGCAGAAATCCCCTTTGCTTATTTAAAGCTTCTCTTCCTGTGCTGTGGCTTGCATCACCTCTTCACTACTCAGTGTCTTTGTAGTATTATTCACTCCCCCACCCATCTTCAGCTTTTCCCTCTCTACTGACTCCTTCCCATTAGCATGTCTCTCCCTTCTTAGGCAACAACAGTGCCTCTAGCTTGAGGCCACGTCCCCTTATCCAGCTACCTCTCTATTTTTTTCCTCCTCTTTAAATGTAAACCTCCAGCCCGAGCACGGTGGCTCATGCCTATAATCCCAGCACTTTGGGAGGCTGAGGCAGGCAGATCGCTGAAGCCCAGGAGTCCAGCCTGGGCAACATGGTGAAACCTCATCTCTACTAAACATACAAAATTAGCCAGGCGTGGTGGCGCACGCCTGTAGTCCCAGCTACTCGGAGGCTGAGGCAGGAGAATCGCTTGAACCTGGCAGGTGGAGGCTACAGTGAGCCGAGATCGCCACTGCACTCCAACCTGGGTGACAGAGCGAGACTCCATCTCAAAATAAATAAATAAATCTAAACCTCCTAAAAGAGCTGTCTTCACTTCTTCCTTTCCACTTTTTCCTCCATATGTTACAATCAGTATTTCTACACATAACTTCACTCAAATGGCTAAAAAAATTCCTATGACCCCCTTTGGTTCCTACTTGAATTCTCACCAATATTCGGCATATTTGACAACTTTCTCCTTCTTATCAGGATCTCTTCCTTTAGCTTCATGACTCTACATATTTCTGGATCTCCTCCTGTATCTTCTTTTGTGACTCTTCTGCTGTCTGCCCCCTAAAAGTGAGTATTCCTGAGTTGTGACCTGAATATTTGTATAAGTGATCTATTAACAGATAACAAATTACCACAAACTTAGCAATTTAAAACACCATCCACTTCTTATCTCTCAGTTTCTGTGGGTCAGGAGTCCAGGCACAGGTTAGCTAGGTCCTCTGCTCTGCTTTCCCAAGGCTGAAATCAAGGTGTCAGCTGGCTCTGCATTCTCATCTGGAGCTCAGGGTCCCCTTACAAATGCATTCAGATTGTTGGCAGAATTCAGTTCTGCGGTCTCTGTTTTTGTTGTAGTTGTTGTTGACTGGGTTCATTTTCACCTCCTAGAGACTACTCTGAGGTCCTCCCATGTGGCCCCTCCATCTAAGCAATGGAGAAGCTCCTTGTTGAACCTCTCTTATGCTCCAATCTCTCTGACTTCTTTTTCTGCCAGCTGGATACAATTCTCTTCTTTTAAAGGGCCCATATGATGAGGTTAGGCACGCTTGGATAATCTCTTTATCTTAAGGTCAATTGATTAGCAAGTTTAATTACATCTGCAAATTCCCTTTTGTCAGGTAACTTAATTGTGGGAATAACACCAGGTGGGGAACGTCATGGTAACCATCTTATAATTCTGCTTTCCACAGTTTTTTTAAAAAATTATTATTATTCTATATATTCTCCTGGAGTGATCTCATCCTCCTACTCAACTTTATTTACCAGCTCTATGCTGATGACTCACAAATCTCTAACTTCAGCTCCAACCTCACTCCTGAGCCTTTAGACCTGTATCAACAACTCCCACTGTTTACTTGGATGCCCCACAGATATTTGATTTTAGAGGCTGAAAAATGAGTTCATCATTTCACCACCAGCCTGCCTTCTTCATGGGTTCTCTCCCAGGGAATCATCCCCCAGTGTCATCTCTGACTGTATGCTCACTCACCCTGCCACCACATCAAAACAACCTATACCAATCAATCCAACCTCCTAAACTTTCTCTAGTGTACCTCCTTTTCTTGATTAATAAAGAAAAGGAGAAAATAAGAATAACTCTGCTTATTCCCTGTTCAGGCTACCTTCACCTCTCATGTGAATTATTCAACAGCCTCCCAATTTCTCTCCTGGCTGCCAGTCTTGACTTCTGCAATGGACATTTGGATCTGCTTGTTCAATATCCATTCCAACCTCCTTGTGTTCCTTTTGGAAAATTAAAAACTACATTTCTTAGCTAGGCTTCTGGTTGCGATGTAGATTCCAACAATCAGGTGCACCCATGAAAGATTTGGAAGGTGGAAGTGATATATCATGAACAGGCGGCCTGCTTCTGCTATTTCTGGGGCAAGCAGGGTTATGAAAGCATTTGGCTTTCAGTGACAGTTGTAGAGGGAGTCCAGTGTCCAGTCCCTAGCTACACAAGTGAAAAGCAGCAGTGAAAAAAGGCATCCTCTTTGCTGGCAGCAGATTTCTGATTTCCAGATCGTGGCAGTGAAGTGATAGTCCTGGAGCCAGCAGTTACATGGAAACAGTGGCTTAATATTCCAGCTCACTGATCACAGCAGAGGCATCAGCTCTCTGGCAGTCAAGTTCTGTAGTGCTATTCTGGAAGGTTTTCCTGGAAGCTCAGCCCAGATTTTGCTCCTCCAGCAATTCCAATCATTTTTAGACTGCTTCTGTTTGTACGGTTTATTTTACCTACAACTGAACTCTGACTACAGTATATCCTATGATTTACCACATTTCATCCAGAATGAGCTCTCTGAAACTCTAGAACTCAAATCCAATAACGGCATTGCCCTTGCTTAAAATCTTTCAATGCCCTCCAATATCCTTATATAAAGTCCAAATATTTTAATCTTGTTTGAAAGATCCTGCATGACCTGGTCCTCCTATTCTCTGCAGACTCATCTTTACCCAGGAACCCTCTGACCACACTAACCTTCCATTCAGGTACCTAAGACATGAACCCATCTCTTTGTCTTGGCAAATGTCATTCTCCCTATATGGAACATTCTTGCCCTGTCTTCTCTTGACTGTCTCCCCCATTCTTTTCCGATCTTGGCCTAAGGGCTTTGTCCTCCAAGAAACATTGTCTGACCCTACCACCCATCACTACCACAAAAACTCTGGGCTAGGCACTGTCCTGTGTGTTCCCACAGGTCCCTGGCCTTCCTACTTTGAAACATTGTACCGTTTGAAACTTCCTAGTTTGAAGCATTGTACTGCATTGTACTGGGATTGCTGATTATATACTGTGCCATCCATCTTGTTCCCATTATACCTTAAGAACCTGGTGAAAGGTTCCATGTCTAAGTTGTGTTCTATTTTACCCCCAGTTCTCAGTGAGTACCTGGCACAGGTGTGCAAATTGAATGAAGTAATAAAGAAGGTGAAGCATTTTAAGCAGAAGGTTTAATCTCTATTGGATTTATGTTTTAGAAAAGCATGTGGCCATGTGCAGAAAGAACCATAATGGAATCAGGTGGAGAGAATGAGCTGAGATATAAAGTCCAGTTTGTTAGTCTGACCTAGTGCAATATTAATGGGGATGGAAAGAAGGAGAATACTCCAGAAAAACTGATACACTCAAGAAGTAATGAGACAGGGCCCAATTAAACCTTTTTTTTGGGGGGGGTGGGGAAGGAGTTTCATTCTTGTTGCACAGGCTGGAGTGCAGTGGTGCGGTCTCGGCTCACTGCAACCTCCAACTCCTGGGTTCAAGTGATTCCCCTGCCTCAGCCTCCTGTGTAGCTGAGATTACAAGCATGCAGCATCACGCCTAGCTAATTTTTTGTGTGTGTGTTTTTATAGTAGAGACAGGGTTTCACCATGTTGGCCAGGCTGGTCTCGAACTTCTGACCTCAGGTGATCCGCCTGCCTCGGCATCCCAAAGTGCTGGGATTATAGGCGTGAGCCATTGCCCTCAGCCTAAACCTTCTTTTGGCACCACAATTCAACTTAATTAACATTTTAGAGTACTTACTCTATGCAAAGCATTGCATTAGGTTATGCCATAAAGCAGTTATTAAGATATTATCCCAGTTTTGGAGATTGCAAGGATTTCAGTCAGCTAGTAAAGACATAAATACTTTAATACTGGACAGAAAGGCAAAAGGAAGTAGAATTGAAGAGTTTACATTTCAAGGGTAAGGTTTTTCAGTTTATTTATTTATTTGTTTGTTTTTGCCTAAAGATAATGGGCTAGTAGTTTCTGGGCAATAGACAGTGTCCTGTGGTGGCAAGAACATTGCCTGGAGACAGAACATAGGAGTCTTACTTCTCCACTTGCCACTAACTGGTATGATCTTGAACAATTTGCTTAACTTCTCTGGACTTCATTCTTCACTTGTAAAATAAAATTCTTGAATAAAATTACCTTTAAAATTCTATTATCTTATATATGTGTTATATTTAAAATGTGTACAGTATTTCTAAAATTTTTCATCAAATTATCTAATTAAAATGTTCCTGTATTCTAAATAGTGCTTTAGGATAAATATTTTAACTTAGCTTTTTGTATAGTATTTAGAAGACAAGGATATAATAGAGTCAAAAATAAATCTCAAGCTTTGGTTTTTTGATTCTAAGAGGTTGATGATAATACTGTATTCACTTTTGCCAATTAGGGACAGTTTACCCAAATGTGCTTGCCCACCACCCCACTTCACTTCCTCAGCCCTTTCAGCCTTACGATTTTTTAAATTTTGCCTTTTCTATTGCCTAGTATTAATGCTAGGCTTTGTCAGAGGAATGTAAAAAAGAGCCTTAAATCATTCTTTTTGCCCTCTTTGATAGACAAGTAGTTTAAAATTCTGTGCTCAGACTGTTTAACAATTCTTCTCAAATTTCAATGGAAGGGAGACATATAAAAGAGCACAAAAAGCAGGATTAGAATCAAGTATCCACTTGAAAATTCACTTGCTCTTCCCATCACTATGCATGGCTCCTTCTCTTTGTAACTAAGTATGCAACAAGCTTTCAAGAATGAACAGGAATGCTTGCAGCTGTAACAAATGAACCTGGGAAAAAAAATCAGTGGCTTAATACAAAGTTATTTCTCATTCATTTCAAGTACAATAGGAGTGATGATGGTGGTAGTGGTTTGTGTACGTCTCTTCCTTGCAGTCATTCAGGAACTCAGGCTGGCAGGATACCTGGGTGTCATCATCCAAGTGGCAAAAGCAGGTCTGGGGAGGGAAGGAGGGAAGAAGGAAACAGACTTTCCTGTGGGAGCTTTTTATAGGCTAGACCTGTCACTTTTATTCCTATTTCATTGGCCAGATCTCAGCTCCATGGGCACACCTAACTACAGAGGAAGCAGCGGAATGAGGTCTAGCTGTGTGCTAAGGAAGAGAACGGGCAGGTTTTGATTACTACTTAGCGGTCTCTGGTCTCTGCCTTACCCCTGGGACACATTGATTCTGTCTAGCTGTTCCCTCTGGACTTCTTCCTTTCTACCCCATGTCTTTAATTGCTGACAAAGTATTTCAGAGGTGACTCCTACTTGCCATGAGTAGTTGGGAAATATTTTTAAGGTAGTGATTTTCATCAAGTAAGCATCTGACTTTTATGATGCAACCTTCGAGTTTCCCTAAGCACTTCAGTTTCTGCCTTAGAATATTATAGCTGGGAAAACTGGCTAGCCATATGTAGAAAGCTGAAACTGGATCCCTTCCTCACACCTTATACAAAAATTAATTCAAGATGGACTAAAGACTTAAATGTTAGACCTAAACCCATAAAAACCTTAGAAGAAAACCTAGGCAATACCATTCAGGACATAGGCATGGGCAAGGACTTCATGTCTAAAACACCAAAAGCAATGGCAACAAAAGCCAAAATTGACAAATGGGATCTAATTAAACTAAAGAGCTTCTGCATAGCAAAAGAAACTACCATCAGAGTGAACAGGCAACCTACAGAATGGGAGAAAATTTTTGCAATTTACTCATCTGACAAAGGGCTAATATCCAGAATCTAGGAAGAACTCAAACAAATTTACAAGAAAAAAACAAACAACCCCATCAAAAAGTGGGCAAAGGATATGAACAGACACTTCTCAAAAGAAGACATCTATGCAGCCAACAGACACATGAAAAAATGCTCATCATCACTGGCCATCAGAGAAATGCAAATCAAAACCACAATGAGATACCATCTCACACCAGTTAGAATGGCGATCATTAAAAAGTCAGGAAACAACAGGTGCTGGAGAGGATGTGGAGAAATAGGAACACTTTTACACTGTTGGTGGGACTGTAAACTAGTTCAACCATTGTAGAAGACAGTGTGGCAATTCCTCAAGGATCTAGAACTAGAAATACCATTTGACCCAGCCATCCCATTACTGGGTATATACCCAAAGGATTATAAATCATGCTGCTATAAAGACACATGCACACGTATGTTTATTGCGGCACTATTCACAATAGCAAAGACTTGGAACCAACCCAAATGTCCATCAGTGATAGACTGGATTAAGAAAATGTGGCACGTATACACCATGGAATACTATGCAGCCATAAAAAAGGACGAGTTCATGTCCTTTGTAGGGACATGGATGAAGCTGGAAACCATGATTCTCAGCAGACTATTGCAAGGACAAAAAACCAAACACTGCATGTTCTCACTCACAGGTGGGAATTGAACAATGAGAACACATGGACACAGGAAGGGGAACATCACACACCGGGGCCTGTCATGGGGTGGGGGGAGGGGGAGGGATAGCATTAGGAGATATACCTAATGTAAATGATGAGTTAATGGGTGCAGCACACCAACATGGCACATGTATACATATGTAACAAACCTGCACATTGTGCACATGTACACTATAACTTAAAGTATAATTTTAAAAAAAGTAAAAAAAAAAGAATATTATAGTGCATTAGATTGTGCAGGGCATACAATGACCATATGTCATTCTCAGTTGTACATACAGATTTAGCTTCAGGTGAATATAACTGGGAATATTACTCTTCTAATGTTCTCGGGCTTAATGAGGTCAGCGATTAAAAAAATATTCAGATCTCAAGTTTCCTTTAGACCATGAAAATTATATCACAACTTTCTAGTTGGATATCATAGCTTTTTGTGGTATAGAGCAATGGTTCTCAAAGTGTGGTTCCCAGACCAGCAGCATCAGCATCACCTGGAAACTTGTTAGTAATGCAATTCTCAGGCCTCATCTCAGACCCCCTGAATCAGAAACTATGGGAATGAGGCCCAGCAACCTGTATTTTCACAAGTCCTCTAAAAGAATATTCTAGAACCACTGGTTTAGCGATTTGGAGTTGAGTTAGATCATTGTTGAAGCATTTCACTTCAAGGATCAAATCAAGACATTATTTGAAATCGTTTGTTTAAAACATACAGAATCTCTCTCTTATATTGCTGTGAATTAAGAGTGACATAGAAATTCATCGAACGAAAATATTGCGAAGAGCCCTGGGAGGTCATGAGAGCACATAGTTTTCAAACGTGTTGGTTACAGAAATCTAAGGTTCTATGAAGCATCTCTAGGGGTCTCCTAAAAGAAAATGTTCATACGTTTGGTTGATGACTATCCTTTGACCATCCAGGGTTTGTCTCTAAAAGACTAGAAATTCTGTGTCAGAAGAAATGGAGCTTTAGGACCAAGTCAATATCTTATTTGTCTTTATATCTTCATTACCTTCCAGAGTGCCCCAGCATAAAGTAGATACCTAACAAACATTTACAATGTATGTATGGATGGAATAGGCATCTCATGGATTCAAGTGCTTAAGTAACTTTTACTAATATTCTGGGGTCATTTTTTGAAAATCAGTTTGGATAGTTTATTCTAGTTGCTATTAAAGAATACTGACTGCTTTATGTATGCCTCCAGTCTTTTAAGCAGTTAAGGATTTTATCTAGCAGATATTAAGAATAATGGCTCCAACTCTGAGAAAGAAAGAGAGGGAGAGAGAGGGAGAGGGAGGAGAGAGAGAGAAAGAGAGGGAGAGAGAGAGAGAAACTTATATGAAGATAATGTTTGTTCCATTTCTTGAAATGTCTATAAAAATATGCTACTGCATGTTAATATTTTCAGTGACTAACCCAGGATTTCTTCCTGAACCTTGGCACTAGTGACATTTGGGGCTGGATCATTCTTTGCTATGGGATCTCTCTTGTATGTTGCAGGATGCTGGGCAGCATCCCTGGTCTCTGCCCACTAGATGCTGGCAGCATCACCTACTACTCCTAGTTGTGACAACCAAAATGTCTCCAGACACTGACAAGTGTCCCCTGGGAGGCAAAAGTGCCCAGGCTGAGAATCACTGCTCTATCCTAATGTTCATAGGGCAGTAGTAATTTTCCTGCATTTTATTCAAAGCTATGGAAACAGGCTTCGAGAAAGAGCATATGTTCCACATTTCTCTTTAGCTCATTGTTGAGGACTTTGGCAGTGACAGCTCTATCTATTTTGAAATGATTTGGTTCACAAATCCTCATTATTTTAGGCCATTTTTCTCCCTGGAACAACTTTATCTTTGGAGATGCAAATTCACAAACTCTAAACATCTTTTTTACACTTTCTGTGATCTACAAGGCTTCAGCACTGAATTCCATTATTGGGCATTTTTATTTAATAATTTCTAAATAATCTATAGACTGGCTAAAGGAACTCTGTATAAGTCCATAATACAGAGCTAGCAACTAATGGAATGGTTTTTATCTACCTCCTTACAATATTTTAAAAAATTATTTAAGAAAAAACCTAAGTAAAATGTAATAATACCCTTTATTACATCCTACTGCAAGATTCTGTCCATGGAAAGAAATTCACCATTGCTTCTGGGATTTACTTCCTGGTATCGAAAGAATATGCTAATAATTCTAGTTCGTGATTTATTTTAGATGTTATCTATTTTCTTCCCTTTAGCACATGAGGATTTAGCATTATTTCAACCTTCCCTCACTTCTGCTCCTCCATAATATCAATATATGACAATTTTTCTTTAAATCATCAGTGTTTAAATGATGAGCTGACAGTGTATCCTGACATCCTTATCGACATCCTCATGTAAATGTTCCCTCTCTTATTTTCCACGTGGGTATGTGTTTTAAATAGTCCCTTTAAAAAAAATTAATGGTATTTTGAGACAGTGAGAGGATAAAAGTATATGGCCATCACACATTTAATAGGAAACTAAAATTATTTTTGAAAACTTTGGAAAGATTACATAAAAAGTCTCAAAATTTTATCGTTAGAAGGTAAAGATTTCTATTTTCCCCTCACCTCTTACATTTAGCATAAATGACAGTGAAGCATTTTTTTCAAATTTAAGAAACAAGTATAAAATCTGATTTTTAGTTTTTCATGAAACGAATTTTGTATATAATTCTTGTATCAATATTAACACCAATAAATCAGGACCATCTAGAAAACAAAAACAGGATTAAAAAAGATAACCAATTGACATGACGGATGAAGAAGACACTAGGTGAGAAGAAACATGTATATAACAAAGCCTACAATTGGGAAATTGTGGGAATCAAAGTCAAGCAGTTAATTACTAACAAAGATGGCAACCATGTTTCTTTTGTCTTTCACAGTGAATGCATAATTAGCACTTAATACTAAGACTAGGGAATAAACCATCTATAATCTATTGAAAAAGACCATCTGCTTCTATAAATTTTGTTCTCATACACTTGCCAAAAGAAGAGAACATATTAACAAAATAATGGGCCCTGCACTGTTAATTGCTAGGTTGTTTGCAGTTGTGCTGTTGCTATTAGAATTTAATAAGCCATTCCTTCTGCTAAATTAATAAGCAGCCAAGATTATGTAATAGCTGCTTTCAGCTGCTAATTATTTTTCCCACAATTCCTTCCCCTCCCTACCCCTACCCCCACCTTTTTTTGGCTAGGAGCAGGAAAGGAGACTGCCAGTATGTCATCAGCAAGTCTCCCGTCCTCATTTTCAGAGCAACATTAGGAGCATAATCAGAGTTTAAACTTGGAAGTGGCTATCTCAGGAACCTTCAGGATATAAGTGTTTTGTACAGAAAAAGAGAAAAGCAGCATTTGGATTCAGAGGGCGAGTTTTCATTGTGTAGCATTAGAGCTATCTTTTAACTGGTTAATGGCATCTGTTTCTTGTAGTAAGAGAGAAATGGGACATTCGAAAGCACCTTTGGGGCATGACTAGGTAGGGAGAAATCTGGTGGGGGCGAGGGGGACCTAAAGAACTACAGAAAGCCAGCTCTGTGCCGTGTGTCGTCCCCTTTCTTTAATATTCCAGTATACATTAATCATACATGTTAGTAGGAAACTTTCCAAGCAGCACAGTAGTGCTTGAAAAGGGGAAGTATTACACATTTCTTTTTGTTTTGTCATACAAAAGCATTTTTTAAAAGCCCCCAAAACTACTGTCTTAGTTTCATAGATACTATAATGTACACAAAAAGAATATAATCCCTAATAAAGGATTCCTTTACATTGATTACATTTAGCTTCGTGAAAATTTTAGCATTTCTTTTTTTACTTTAGGCCATTAAAAAAATTCTGGCGACTATACTTAGGAACCTCTGCAAAAGGGGCATGGCCCAACAAAAGCAATTTTCTCGCTTCCTTTGTAAGAACCTAGGTGACTCGGGTAATGAATAGCATTTCGATATGGGAAACCCGTGGCTCTTCAAGGAAGGTCACCTAATCCCGTGGGACTCCCCTTTCCTTATCTGTAAATGACTAGATGATTCATCCATTCTATCATTCAGAAAATTATGAACATCCATTATGCCCAGGCATTACGCTCAGCATTACAGCTCTTAACAAATTTATCATTTTATAGTCTTTATCAGTCAACTCACATTTATTAGTTGTTATATACCAGGCTGTGAACTAGATTGAGATGCAAAATGAATACAATTTAAGGTGTGCTAAATAAAGGCTAACGGGCATGTGGGTGAAAGAGGGAATCGCTCTTACAGGGTTTTAGGGTGAGGCTTCATAGATGTGACATTTGGGAGCAAGGACATGCCAGGCACAGCAAGTCGTCGGCAGTGCTAAACTGGAACCCAGGCGGCTGGTGGGGCGACCCAGTGTGAAGGAAGCGGGATCTCGAAGGTGAGGTGCTGTCCGGGCTTTTCAGCCGAACGGACGGTAACTCATCCAGTCCGCAGCACCGAGGATGGGCGAGGCGAGCCCAGGGAACAGACTCCCGCGAAGCTCGGGGCGGAAGGTGTCTGGGCTAGGGCTGGAGCAGTGCAATGGGAAGGAGAGGGCGGATTCCGGACAATTTTGAGGCAGAATGATAGCAAAAGGCCCGTGAATGCGTGACGAGCTCCACAGAAGAGCTGACTTGTTTTTCCAGAGTTGCAGCACTCCCTCGTCTCCTCCCACCCTCCTCGTCAGCCGTCACACTTCACACTTCCTCTCTGGGGACACAGAGAATCATTAGAGCTCGAACGTGGCTCTTCGCTGTCCGGAACTTCCCTGCCCCGCACCACCCGCTAGGCTAAGGACGCTGCAGAATCCCGTCCTCCTATCATTAAACAAGCAGGACAGCCGCCCGCGCGCGTCCCGGAGGCACCTGCAAGAGCGCGCGGGCGCGCGGGCGCTCGGGCCCGGCAAACGCCGCTTCCGGGTCACGTGGCCCGGCTTCCGGTTCGCACCTCCCCTCAGCGAAGAAACCTCCAATCGGCTGCCTTGGACTCAGCGGTTACCCGCGCTGCCTCCGGTGCCGCTGGCGACCGCTGAGCCGCTTCCCGCGCGTCGCCTAGCCCGCCCCTCAGCTCGCCGCAGCCCCGGCTCCTCCCTCGTCCGGCCCCCGGGGCGGGGTCTGTCAGCTTGCCCTCCCCTCTCCGCCTAAGCCTGCCCTATGCCAGCCGGGTGTCCTCCCCACAGCACCACGGCTTCTCTTCCTCAGCACGGCGACAGGGGCTTCCCCTTCGCCGCCGCCGCCGCCGCCGGCCAAGCTCCGCCGCGCCCGCGGCCCGCGGCCGCCGTAAGTCCCTGGGGGCGAAAGGGGGCGCCGGGGATGGGGGAGAGGGGGAGGGAGGACTGGGCGCGCCCCCCGCCACCCCGCGCGCGCCCCGACGACCCCACCCCGAGCCTGCCCGGCCCGCCACTGGGTCGCCGCGCCCGCAACTCACTTCTCTCCGTGTCCGCGCCCTCCGCACCACTCCGCGCCGCGCCCGGGGATGTGGGGGCCAGTCCCGGGCTCCGCGACAGCCTCGCGGCACCTGTGGTTCGGGAATCGCCTCAAGTTTTGCGGGGCGCTTTCGGGAGGGGCCGGGGGCGGTGGCGGCCGAGGACTCTTGGCGCCCCCTGCGCGGCGGCGGATGCCATTGTCTGCTCCGCTCCTTGCCTGTCACCTCTCCCGGGCTTGGTCAGTGATGGAGTGTGGCCACGGGAGTGGGGGGGAGGCACCGGCGACGGCCGGACCCGAGGAACGCTGGCCCCGAGCCCGCGCCGCGGCTGAGCCCATTGTTTTTAATGCCAGTCTCGAGGAATTGTGGTGCCCTGTGATTTGCGGCAAAATCAAAGCGTTGGTTTTTAACACGAGGGAAGGAATACTCGTGCTTTGCAACCGGGTTTCGTCCCATGTTAGGACATAATTTATTTTAAGGAGAATACATTGTTTTTTCGTCCTGCAAAGTGGTAGGGCGGATACAGGACCCTGCTCCAGACAGCCTTGAGCCCATACTCTTCGCAGGCAAACCCTCACCCTTTCTGGTCACCAAGATCTAGGAATACGAGGTCCATTCTTTTCCAAGTTCTGGTAACGGGTTTGCAGTAAATGCCCAGTTGATGCTTCACTTCCTGCCCCCTTCGAATGCCGCTATCTTCAGGACTTGCACGGGAGGCACTTTGGTATCACCTAATAATGTCCTTATATTTTGTTCCCCTGACGCATTTTAAGTGAGGTAATAAGACCATTTTAACTTTACTAAAGTTGAATTGCCACGTCATACATTTCTAGATATCTTGTTGATACCTTTTTGGGTGGTTACAAAAAGCGACGATAATTTCTTACCGAAATTTAGGGCCCATTTTTATTCTACATTGGTTCTGTAAATTTCCCCTCCCCGTGTTCAAATTCAAGATGGTGTGGTGAATCTTGAGAATCATGCTTGAATCTTATTTGCAGTAACGCTGTTAAAGGAACTTAACAGTGATTAAAAGAAAAAAGGATACCTATGTGAATTCTGCCTTTAAATTACCTTTGTAGAAACAATACTTCTGTTTGCAGTTGAGATGACCAATTGGATTACAAAAAGCTTGGCGTTAAAAATGAAACATGCAGACTAATCAACACATTTGCAGATCACAAATAAATACATACAAATTAGTTTAAGTATAAAACACACTAGAATTCAGCATCCATTCCATCTGTAGATACTATTTTTTATTTTAAATGAAGTATTTCATGTAATGTTTCAATGCTGAATCTTATTTAATAAGTGTAAATCTTATTGTGGCCTTTTAAACGTTTGTTTTCTTTTTCATAATACATTAACTCAGTTCTAGATTTTGTACATATTTAAGTTGGAATGCTTTAAAAGTCAGATGAAAACATACTTTTTTATTAATGAAAATTTGTATTTATGGGATTTTTCAGTTAATATTTTGGATCATTCTGTTTTGCTTAAAATATGCCATCATAAACTGAGGAGAACATTCCAAGACATAAGCTACTGTCTGCAAGTAATTCACCCTGGAACTAGAACGGCCTCAGGATGAAAAATAGCAGGTCTTCTGTTTCTTTCAAAAGTACCCAAACCAGATGATGTCTACCATTCTCTTTTGATGCATATAGAGAGTGCGCAATGTATAGCACAGGTAGAAAATAGTTTCTTAAATTGAAAGAGTGATCTTTATTTTTCTTCAAAAATTTCACTTCAGCTTATTACCCATTTTTCTTTTTTCTCCTGCACACTCCCCTTCAAACTTAATGTGGAACAAGGTGGGATTGGAAGGTTTGCATCTAGAGGAAGATCTGTCCAAAAGAATTTCTTGCTATTTTAATTGGCATAGAAATATTGATGGCTACTAATCATTTGTCATGTAAATGCCCCATCCCCCAAAACTTCTCTGTGAAACACATAATCTTAACTTTATTGATTCAAAGTATTACATGTAATCTTGATTTTATTTATCTTAACAGATGCAGTTTATGTTGCTTTTTAGTCGTCAGGGAAAGCTTCGACTGCAAAAATGGTATGTCCCACTATCAGACAAAGAGAAGAAAAAGATCACAAGAGAACTTGTTCAGACCGTTTTAGCACGGAAACCTAAAATGTGCAGCTTCCTTGAGTGGCGAGATCTGAAGATTGTTTACAAAAGGTATAATTTTTGTTTGTCAGAAAGGTGAAATAGAATCAAATGTTAGGTCATTTAGGAAATTGCAGACTTCAGTGATGACATTTATAAATAACGATTAATAAAGATTTAGATGAAATAGGTTTAAGGTAAAGCTTTGTGTTTTTAAAATAACTAGTGTTTTGATTGATAATTACTGAGGCTGAAATGATAAAGGCAGGGAAATCCTTTGAAAACTAGTTATATAATTAAAGGCATAAATGATTATTCATGCTTAATCATCTTTATAGAAGAGTTTAATGAATTCATTTCATTGCAGGGGAAAGTAGGGTCAGTATTTTAAATTGTGTGAGTAATTCTCTGAATTGAGACAAGTACAGATAGAGTCTAATTCTTTTTCCCCGAAAATCTATAAAGTAATGACTAATATTTGACATGCCTTTTATCTGATTTTTAGAATCTTACTCACGTGTAAATACCTTGACTATGTAGACTATTTCAATCACATAGATGTTTTAAAAACTTTGTGTATACATGAGATGTGTTTGTAAGTAGTGTTTATTAACTTTTAAGTACCCTTGTTGCTATGGTGGGGGTGCAATTAAATATGACAGATAATTTTTCCAAGGACAGATTTTTTAAAAATTTGATGTTACAAAATGACTCATAGATTGGCTTTTAACACTAAAATTTTTTTAATGCTATACGTCTTTATTTTATAAATATCTGAAACCCTGAATACCCTAAAATAAATTTCTCAAGATTGTTCTAAGTAGGTTAAAAGAAATAAACTTTCTTCTTTTACAGAACATTTTTTGAGGGGACATTTACTTCATTCCCCATTTGTTTCTTTTTGAATAATTTGCTGAATTTAAGATAAGAGCATTTCTGCATATAAAAAGTTCTCTTGTGTGGGGAGTATACATGGAAGTAACAGTATGGGATACAATGAGGGTGGGAGAGAAGTCTGGTTTTCTTCTCAGCTTCCCTTTATTGCACTCCAAATATGGGTTGGATATTTTGTCAGGGAGATGGCTGGGAAGAAATGGAGATTACAAGACATAAGTTTCTTAAATACTGAGGACTCCTCTTTATTATTGAATGATCTTTGGTGATTTTGTATCTTTGGGTGATTTTGTATCCAGTGTTTCGTTTGGTCTTATTAAAGATTATAGAAAAGTCATATCATTTGAGAGGTGAGAGATGTTTTACAGTGATCTAGTCAGGTGATTTTGTTTTGTTTTGTTTTGTTTTAAGCTTTTTGCCCCATGGGTAGAACCTTAAATAAAATGAGTGGAAGTGAGGCTGCTCCTTGTGAAATCAGGAATGAGGATCCTGTATCCTGGCTCACTTGGCCTTTACCCCTCTGCACAGGAGACAGTTCTTGAGTTTGAAAACTGCCGTTGTTGATCAAACTTCAATTTTATAAAGAATGCAAATTTGGGAGAAGTGACTTGTCTAGGGCCATATGCCAGTTAGTGATTGACATGGGGCTGCAACTCAGATCTTAAGCTTAGAGGCAAAGATTTTAAACAGGGCTGGAAAAAGATCAGGTTTACATATCTTAAAAGATTGAACTGAGACAATGGATGAGGGCAGGAGGGGCTGAGACTGGCACCTGCAGGATCAGTAGGAGACTATGTGAGATCCTGAACCCAGGCGCTAGAAAGGAGGGCTGTCACTAAATAGCCATTATCAAATAGGTAGGTTTGATAAGACTTGGTCACCTCTAGAAGTGGGAAGAATATGGGAGGTCGAGGCAGGAGAATCGCTTGAGCCCAGGAGTTCAAGTCCAGCCCTGGCAACTTAGTGAGACCCCGCCGTCTCTACAATTAAAAAAAAAAAAAAAAATTAGCTGGGCGTGGTGGCATGCACCTGTATTCCTAGCTGCTCTGGAGGCTGAGGTGGGAGGATTGATTGTGCCTGGGAGTTCAAGCCTGCACTGAGCCCTGATTGGGCCACTGCACTCCAGCCTAGGTGACAGAGTGAGACCCTCAACGACAACAACAAAGCGGAGAGAGCAGCGAAGGAAAGGGAGGAGTGGGGTGATCTCCACATTTCTGGTTTGCTGATGGGGTACAAGGTGAGCTAGATAACTCGGCTTATTTTGGGGTGAGTTGATTTGGGGATGTCTATGTGACTTTCATTAAGAGAAGCCTGATTTTCTGGTGGGATGTGGTTGGTGTAAGTATGGAAGTCTGGGGAAAATAAGACAAAGTATTAGATCACCAGCATTCAAGTGGCAGGCAAAGGAGATGAAGAAGGGACCTTCAGAGTGGAATGAGAAATTTCACCAATGCCAGATGTTGCATAAAGTTCAATGAAAGTGAGGAAGGAATCTGGTAGATTTTACAGTGAGCATTTCATATAATGCCCTTTGCCAGAACATTTTCAGTGGAATAGTGGAGATAGAACTCTCGATGTAATGGGGCGAAGTGTGAAGAGGTGGAGAAATTTAAATAGCATGTGTAGACTATTTTGGGGAACTTTGCTGTGAAGGACAGGAGACGAGGTGGTAACCACTCATAGACATAGGAGTGGGGGACAAGGTTTTTAAAAAAGAAGGTGTGAGAGGCTTAAGCTTATTTCTAGATAGGGGAAGGAGTCCCCCGTGTGGAGGAGGAAAATACCAGCAAGGGATTCAATCCCAGGAATGGGCTGTTATGGGAAGAAAGGAAAGCACTGCTTGGTGTTCATGCACATGTCACTCAGTCTGTCCGTGTTGAGCCACTACTTTTTCTTTTGAAAGCTACAAAGGGTATCTAATCCAACTCTGATACTTATATCAAGCACCTTTAAATAAAAGGTGGACTTTAAAAAAAACAGCTTTATTGAGATATCAGTCATATACAAAAGGTGGAATTTATCAGTTCTTTCTCTATACGTTCCCCCTTCCATTTCATACTGAAAACCTCATCTACTCTACCACTTACGGACATATTTTTTGTTGGTATAAACAGGTGGTTTGTTTTCCCTACTGCTGGAAGCGAAGAGCTTTTTAAGCAGGAGAATTACTGCTTAGCGCCTGAGAAATTCTGGACTGGGACTTCTGCTGTTCATATCAGCAAGTGATTTTTGTTGTTTTTGTTAAATTATCTCATCTACATTCTTCATCCTGAGTATTTGGCATACAAATTCCCCCTTTTGAGAGGGGAATGATGGATAAGAATAATATTAGCTGAAAAGACAGACTGAAAATCTGGGGACTTAAGTTCTGTTCCCTTTGTAACGTTAGCTAGTTTTATGACTTTAAACAAGTCACTTTGTTTCCTTATCTCTAAATGCTCTTGAAGATCCCTTCAAGACAGAATACTGTGCTTTTTTGATTCCTGTTTTGTGTAGCATTTTGTGGAAGAGTCACTGGATTAAGGTCTTTTAAAATTAATTTAAAAACATATATATCTCCAAATTACTAGCTTGATAATTTGTTAAAGAATACTTACTGATTTTCTTTACTAACAAAAGAATTTTTAATGACATACCAGTGGGTATTGAGAACACTTCAGCTACATTCACCCACAGTCAGCTGATATTTAGCTGATATTTAGCTGACTGCGGAGAAGTCATGTGTTTTGAATATAAGAATAGGCACTTTCAGATGTTCTCTGAGTGCCAGTAATTAGAGTAAGCCTTAATCCACTGTGCTAAAAATAACCAAACATACCTTTCTTCTTACTAGTCTATTATTAATTTTACTTCAGATTTAGACTTACAAATAGGCACTAAGAGAACAAAATGAGCTCATTATTGATTTTTTTAAAACCATTTGGTCCTAAATATAGGAAGTACACTTCAGGTTCTCTTGGTAATCTTTTACTAAATCAGTATGGCATATTTTACTTCTCTTCAAAGCTCTTAAAATATTGTTTCGAGCACATTTTAATTTTTGCCAGGTATGGGATTACGTTAATGCAATTGCTGGCTATAGTTTTTAATGTAAAACTTGGGCTCTAGAGTCAAATTGCTGTTCCTAGGCAGGTTACTCAAACCTGGGTCTCTTATCAATGCAAATAATAATGGTATCTCATGGATACGGTTGTTGTGAGGATTAGAGTGGTAAAATATGCAAAAGCCTTAGCTAACATTTAATGTCTCATGTAGGGCGAGGATTCAGTGAATGGTACTTAATTATTATGTTTCTGTTTTTTTCCTGCCCTAAGCTTTCTGGAAAGAGGTACATTATTATCCTGATAGCTATCTGTTCACCTACACCAAAGAATTCATTAATTTGATTATTCTTTTTCCATTCCGAGTGAAAGTAAACATTACTGGCTGGGGCTTAGACACATTGTTTCTGATGATTTTTAAATTAATGCTTCCAAGTGATTCATGCAGTTTAGGACCTTTGACTAGTGTTTAAGTGCTTTTTATTTGTAAGTAAAGAGGCAGTACTGTGGATAAGGAGCGAGGATGGTACGAGCATTAGCTTGTTTAATAGTAGCATGAGGAAATCTTAAATAAAAGGAATTTTACTTGAAACTGTTAGTAAACTTTGTATAATAAATTATTTAGCATTCTGTTCCTATCAGCTAGTCATATCTGGTTTTTAATCTACCATTTTTATGTCAGTCCCTTTAATGTTTAGTTTTCTTAAATCAGGGAATCTTATGTGTCATTTATCAGTTTCCTCAAATTCAAAGTTCTATTTAATGAGCATGGGTTAGGGAGGATGGAGAGTTGGAATACTCTATTCTCTTTTAAATAGACAAACAAAAACAGTAACGATGGGAAAGAGAGGGAGCACTTTGTTAAAGTTGGCATTGATGCCCTGTTTTGTCTTCCATGACTTATTCCCTTCACAATGATGATAAATGAACACATGTGAATACCTCCTCTCAATAAGACTGCAGTAGCTCCACCATTTTAAATAACTTACTGAGTGTGGAAGTCAGGTAGAGTAGACATGCACAAACTCATGATATATATGCCAAGTGAGTTTGTATGATACAGTGGAAAAAGGCCTGGAGTTAAGGTCAAAAGATCAGGTTTCTTATCCCAGTACTAGCACTTGTAGGCGCTGTACTCTTAAGCCTCATTTTTTTTTTGTCTTTTTTTAATCTGTGATCAAGGATGAAAGATAGTACTTGCTGTTGAAAACATCAAATAAGATGAAATGGTTTTAATAATGAAATTAATGCTGTTGTGTGAATACTAGTTATTTTCATACTAAGGAGCAAGAATTCATTGAGTCTCAAAACAGGTTGTGTTATTCTGTATACAGTATTATTTTACATTAATGCTACGAGCAGTAACTGCCCATTGTGTTTTCTAAAAATCATTTAAGTGATCTTCAGTGAAAATTATAATCTCCACTGAAATGTTCTGTGTTTAGCCTATCTTAGGTTTTTATTTTCTTTCTTTTCAAAAGCCTTAAGTACATGTAAACCATTTTAAAATGCCCTTTTAATCCTCCTCAAAGGACTTGCTATGCCTCAGGGTTGAAGTTTTGCTTCCTTGGGTCAAGCATAACATGATTCCATATGCTAGAATCCTAATTTGAAGGAGAATATAAGTTTCCCAACCTTATTCCCTCTTCTAGGGTAAATAAACTACACTTCAGTTCAACAGTGTAGAACTTGGTAAATTTGAGAACAGGCCTCTGTTTCCCTTAAGTGATAGGAACTTTCTGTTCTCTTTCTCTAACTTCTGTAATAACGTGGAGCTGTTGTTCTTTTCGTATGGTTTATTCTGCAATCCTAGAAACCTTTTTAAAAACAATTCTATTCTGTTAGAAGTCAAGAGCATAGTTACCCTTGGGGGTGGGAGGTTGTGACTGGGAGAGGGTAGCAGAGGAGTTTCAGGGTTCAGTAGTGTTCAGCTTCTTGATGTGGGTGCTGATATATAGTTGAGTTCACTTTGAAAATTTATTGAGCTTGTAGGACTTAAGGTCTTCTCTGTGTATATATTATACATATTCCAATAAAATATCCCAAAATATTGACCTCACCTTGGCATTATCCTCAACAAGTCCTCCTTCAGTTGGAAGGTTTGTTTTCTTCTCTGTACTTACAGTTTGAATTAATCTGCTATATATTTTGTTTTAATTAAGTAAACTTAGGAAAAACCTGGGTCTGCTATGTTTTAAAATGCTTATAGAAAAGAACCTGAAAGGAAGAAGGGCAAAATCACTTATTCTAAGTGGTATGATTATTTTGATTTTTTCTTTATACTTGCCTATGCTTTTCAAAATTTCTGTTATGCGTTTATTACTTTTGTAGTCTATGAGAAAAATCTGTACTGTCGTGAAAGAAGAAATAAACTGTATAAACTTGGGGCTTTTCATAATAGGATATGAAAATATATTTAGAAAACATCATTATAGGATAACAGTTTTTTTCACATTTGTACTTTGTTACAGATATGCTAGTCTGTATTTTTGCTGTGCTATTGAGGATCAGGACAATGAACTAATTACCCTGGAAATAATTCATCGTTATGTGGAATTACTTGACAAGTATTTCGGCAGTGTGAGTAGTATTTTATTTTAGGAAATTGAATGCCATAGTATATTTTGGAACCTTTTCTCTAACAAGTTTATTTTTTGGTTGTCTTGGGGATTCTAACCGCGGGAGAGGGTGGGAATGACTATTTATTAGTAGAAATTATTAAGTTGTCCATATTGGGAACATGCAGAGCCCAGTCTTATTTAGCTTGTAGGAATATGTTTTCAAGTACTTGAGATTTGGAAATTAAGCTTACTTAAACCAGTGATACTTAGTCATTTTTAGAAAGAGTTAAGATTGATTCACTCTAGTTCGATTTTATTCACTACCTGATAGTGAATAAGCATCTTCTGCTTCTGCAAGTTTTAACAATTTTTTCTTTTCTTTTTTCTTTTTTTTTTCCTTTTCAGGTCTGTGAACTAGATATCATCTTTAATTTTGAGAAGGCTTATTTTATTTTGGATGAGTTTCTTTTGGGAGGGGAAGTTCAGGAAACATCCAAGAAAAATGTCCTTAAAGCAATTGAGCAGGCTGATCTACTGCAGGAGGTAAGCTACTTATTCTCTTCACTAGGCACTAGCATGTTTTGCTCTTGCTGGGGAAGTCTCATTCATCATTCTTACAGTTTCAGAAAGTACTCTGAAGCATGCTTGTCATGTAGTGTCCATCCATGTGCAGTTTATTGACTGGAATATGTGTCAGTCACGTCAACTCAGTTATCTATGGATGGATGGTTCAGTTTGGAGATGGTCTATCGGTCAGGCCTCTTCCCAATGGCCCTTTTTGGACCCTAAAACACTGGAGTCTAAACCTTTAGAGGACAGACTATTTGAAGAAGGGAAAAGATTGGCTGAAAGTAGCAGTAAGTTGAGAACTCTCCATCTATTGCTTCAAATTGTTTAAGATAACCCCCTTTTTCATTAGTGTAGATAATCAGGAGTTGACTATGAGATTATGACATTTTAATTCCAAATTGGCTCATATTTTTACCTCATGTCCATTAAATGCAAAAGTAGCCAAGCAAATGATAGTGTTTTCTAATTATACTTTTTGTAGAAACTTCCAGGTTTTTTTTGTTAGCAAAACTAAACAGTATTTGCATTTCTCTTTGCTCTTCTTAAATAACAAACCATGTTCTGTCAAACTGCATTCTTGTCTTACCTCCATATCCCCAGATGTGTAACTCCCTTTTCTTTCTAATTACCATAGTCATCTTGGGTTAATTGTGCAGTTGATGCTGATGTACCTTCTATTTCTGAAGCTTAACATTTCATAGATAAGGCTACCTTTTTCCAAAAACTTAATGATACCTTAATTCAGATACCAAATTGAATTATGCTTTAGAGCTAATTGTGATTTTTATCATATGGAAAGCTTACAGCATGAGAAGTGATTAGTAAATATTGAAAAATGAAATGTGTTTTCACTAAAGTAGTTGTTAAGTGTGTGTTTGCATGTATGTAAAAGTCTTGAATATTTTTGGCTCACTGGTTCATTTTCCAGAAGCATTGAAAATATGATTTTGTATTTCCAGTTTATTTTAGTCCCTTCTTTGTTACATACATGTTTATCAGTTTGTTCTTGTCTTTTTTTAGTCACCAAAGGTGACTTTCAGTCCCATTTTTTAGCCTTGGAGGCATTCAGTTTTAAGGGAGTGAAATAAGGGGAGAAGAGTAACTTACTTTCTCCATTTTAACTTCTTAACTCTTGGACTCTGTGAGGAAGGGAAAGCTGTTTGAGAATCTCACTGCATCAGTCACTGACTGGGACAGTTGTGGGGATTGCTTGAAGTTGAGATGACATCATCTGGATAGACATCTACTAAATGTGAGACAATGCATTGTACACTTAATGATCTTGTAGTTATCAGAAGAGTGGTTAAGGTGCCTGCAAAAGTGAAGTATTAGATTGGCAGCCCTGGTGCCATCTACTCTTCAGTAGTGAAATGAACACAGACCTTTTGCCTTGTGTGTACAGTTTGCCACAGTGGTTTACCAATTGATTGGAAATGTTATTCTGGAGGTTTGTTTTTAATATCAGGTGCGCTGACTATAAGCATATACTCTACTGTTGTAAAATTGGTTTTTAAAGTTAGTATCTCCTTATTTTGCTGTTCACTAATCAGACTTTTTTAAAAATTAGGTCAAAACCAGGATTAGAAATTGGGAATTTTTCATATAGGTCTTCCCTTGATCACTTTCATATTTTGTCACAGATCTGTATTCTGCTCTGTCAGAACCTGGCATTTCTTCCAAGTTTTTCTATCATTTTCTGATTAATTACATTGGCTTTAAAATGTATTTAAAGTTATTGAAGTTCAACTTTTAATTTTAATATTTTTCCTGGAGAGTAATTTTTTGTTTGTTTGTTTGAGATGGAGTTTCGCTCTTGTTGCCCAGGCTGGAGTGCAATGACACGATCTTGGCTCACTGCAACCTCTGCCTCCCGGGCTCAAGCGATTCTCCTGCCTCAGCCTCCCGAGTAGCTGGGATTACAGGCTTGCACTACCATGCCTGGCTAGTTTTGTACTTTTAGTAGAGACAGGGTTTCACCATGTTGGTCAGGCTGGTCTCGAACTCCTGACCTCAAATGATCCGTCCCCCTTGGCCTCCCAAAGTGCTGGGATTAAAGGTGTAAGCCACTGCACCCAGCTGTGCCTGGATTTTTAAATGCTACTGGGAAATTGCTATGGGCCTTAGAATATGACAGCAATGTTAAGTTTACCTTAGAGCATATATTCAGTATTTAATGTACTAGGGGATAAGAACATTATTGCAGATCCACATTTATTTGTGTGTGTATATGTACATATGTATATATATTCCCCTATGGGAGTATTTTAATAGTTAATATTGTCCTTCTGTTTGAAGTACTATTTTTATGTCTTTTTTTTTTTTTTTTTGAGATGGAGTTTCGCTTATCACCCAGGCTGGAGTGCAGTGGTGCAATTTCGGCTCTCTGCAACCTCCGCTTCCTGTGTTCAAGCAATCCTCCTGCCTCAGCCTCCCAAGTAGCTGGGACTACAGGTGCACACCACCATGCCCAGCTAATTTTTGTATTTTTAGTAAAGACAGGCTTTCACCATGTTGGCCAGGATGGTCTCAAACTCCTGACAGGTGATCCACCCACCTCGGCCTCCCAAAGTGCTGGGATTACAGGCGTAAGCCACCGCATCCAGCCTATTTTTATGTCTTTAATTGGGGAAAGTAAGTGCAAAGAGAAAAGCATAGGATGAGTATGGTTGGTCCCATGTAAAATTTTCCTTACCCCCTTGTAACCTTTGTTTAAAATAAAGAAATGAGTACTGTTAATTACAGTTCCTTGTCTTTAGAAGAAAGCTGTGGTCCTGTTTCTCTTCTATGACTACTTTTACATTGCTTTGTACACAAACGAAACTGAGTACCACATTGAGACATTGTCTATTTAGCAGTCTGAGTGAACCATTTTTCTTAGCCATGTAGGTCTTGGGGAAGCAGTAGGTGGTGGTCCATTCTGAATTTAGAGTGAGAATACATCGTAGGTTAAGGCCATTATGAAGCCAAGCTCAAGTCTGTGTGGAGCAGTAAGGCTTCAGGTTATTCTGTTCTCTTCATCAACATACTCTGAGAAGAAATGCAGGAATGGCAAGATGCATGTTTCCTAAAAATAGATTCATTTATATTTTTGATGCATGATACAAGTTTACATCTGTGGGAGAGTATTTGAATATTATGTTCATAAAATAGCAAGTGGAATAAGAGAAAAAGCACTCCACAAACTGCTGGAAAACTTTTTGTTTTGGATACCATGACAACAAAAATAATTATGATGGTAACTAACGCTTGAGTGCTTGTATGTGAGGCCCTGGGCTCAGCAGTTTGCTTTAAGCATCCTGTGCTAATCCTCAAGACACCCTGTGAAAGGTTAGAGGTAGCCTAATGAGAAAGTGGAATCTCAGTGAGGTTCCATGACTGGTCTGAGGCCACCTGGTTAGCAACTGGCAAAACCAGGATTCTAAACCCAGATCTACTAGGCTTCACAGCTGTGTAAAATCTTAACCACTGTGCACTTCCCCTAACCCCAGTTATGTATTGTCTTGGTATATATATTTTAAACGTTCTGTTTTAGATATGAACTTCTTTGTTTCTCAGTCATATAGTGAGAAATTCATAATTCTCCCAGAGGTTTTTCTGTGTGGAAAAGAGTAGATTTCCTAAGACAGTGCCATCTTTGACTTCTTAGACTGCAAATTTTTATTGTCCAGATTATCAGCAGTTGGAATTTTTTATTGGATATGTAGATATAAATAATATTTTTCAACCTATTTCTTGTTGGATTGATCAAAATGCCTGGATTTATAATAACTTTTTTGGTCTTATAGTTTGGGGTATAGCATTCACTTAATCAATTTCATGAAATGATTTTGCTTCCAAAATTGTAAATATAGCTGTGAAGATCTAAATTCAGACTTACATTTGTAGTAGAAGTCCTAATTGGTCAATTTTAATCTACTTTTTCATGTGTCATTATTTTTCTGTTTAGTGTCAGGTCTTTTACTTGAATTGATTATTTCTAAGCACCAAAGATGACTTTGAACTTATCATGTACTTATCTGTTGGCTTAAAGGTGTATACACATCTCAATGATTTTGATTTTTTTTTAATTTGTGAAATATACATTTCTATCCTTAAGAATGCTTATTTTCTTCAGAAAAATTAAAAAAAAATTTCTCTTACCCAATTTGTATAAACACATAGTTTAAGGTAGTCCTTCATTTTATAGCCAAATAGGGAAGAGGGTCAGTGGATACAGATTTTCTGTTAGCATATTACAGTTAGTAATAAAAATGTAACATTAAATGTACATTCAAATAATAGTTGCTAAAATATTAGCAGATATTGTGATTAGATAATAAAGATATCTTTTTTATTTTACTTCATTACTTGGTAAATAAAGGATTAGTTTTGACATTTCTAGACCAAACTTCATGTTTATTCCTTTTGGTGTTTGGTTGTATGAATACATAATTAGATTTGGGGGTAAAGCCCAGAAATTGGCCCGTTATCCATTTTTTAATGTTTGGCTGTCTTAACATGCCACTGGTACTAAAGATGATTCTTAAATTATTAAAGTACAACATGCTGAAATTGCTAAATTGATATTCTTTGCAATACTTGGAATACTTTTCCCCACCACCTATTTTAAGCTAGATTTTTGGAGGGATATGGTGGGGGGTGGTGATGTAGTTGGATTTATTTAAACACACACATATATAATGACAAAGGAAATAATAGTATGGCTTTTTTTCTGTAAAGTCAAGCACTTACCAGTTTTTCTCTGCTCCTTAATTTTATAGAGCCAGAATGAAGAATGGGGAGGTTTGTCTGAGGATATCTTATGATAAAGAGCAGTCTAAGGCTTTAGTCCCTTTGATCCCCAACTTATTTATTGGTAACTACTAAATTTACCATTTTTGTGGCATGGATAAAATGGAGTGCTATGCAAATACTGTTGCACGTGAGATGATTTCTAAGTCCTTGCTTGATCCGTGAAGATCAAATAGTTAAATACTGGGCATTTGGGCTTTAACCCTTAGCGGTTGATGCATGATGGTGTTGATTAGTGCTTTGAGATGTGTCAACCTTTCTTTTTTATACTAACAGCATCATTTTGAAATTTGTGGTGTTGTTTTTCTTTTGAGCTTTGTTTGCTGTTGGTATTTTTTCTCACTAAAGTAATCTGTGAAATGCAAAATAAGTGAGGTACCAAAAGCAAGCATAATACTCATGAATTTGCTTTTACTTTGAGATGATCCACTTTATGAATAGATTTACTGGATTTGCAGTTGTTTATCTGCCTCATCTAGAAAGTGGTACTCTACGGAGGATTAGCGCTGCTAAAATTGATTTGTTTTAGTGCTGGGGGCTGCATGATATATCTTAGTACTATGCTATATTTTTGTGAAAGTAATAATCTGTGGGACTGCATACAAATGGAAAGGTAAGAATCTTAGGAGAAAAGTGATTTCTTTTAAAAAATGAAGCTTTTGTAACTTAAAATTATTTTAATAAGTACTTTTTGAAGTATTGAATAACATATCTTTTAATATGAAGTTTTGGACTTTTTAAAGGTCAGCTCTTGATATAATTAAGAATATTTGGGCTGAGCACGGTGGCCCAAGCTTGTAATCCCAGCACTTTGGGAGGCCGGGGCAGTTGGATTGCTTGAGCCCAGAAGTTCGAGACCAGCCTGGGCAATGTGGTGAAACCCCATCCTTACAAAAAGTGAAAAAAAAAAAGACTAGCTGGGCATGGTGGTGTGTGTCTGTAGTCCAAGCTAATTGGGAGGCTGAGGTGAGAGGATTGATTGAGCCCTGGAGGTCCAGGCTATAGTGAGCCATGATCATGCTACTATATACCAGCCTGGGTGGCCACAGAACGAAACTTTGCCGAAAGGAAGGAAGGAAGGAGGGAGGGAGGGAGGGAAAACAGAAAAAAGAAAGAATATTTGGGCATGCTAGTCCAACTTGAGAATATCTTAAATTGTTTTAAAAAAAGAGATGCTTCCAAATATGTACAAGAATGTCATTTAACAGCAAAAAGCATTTTGATATAAATCCTCTTAGATTTGCTTAAATAAGACAAACTCGTGTAACTCCTTTGTAATTACTACTGTTCATGTTAAAACCTTCAAGCCTCTTTTAAAGTTAACAAGACTATAGTCTTTTATTGCCAGCGTACTTTAGTTTTTTTATAGGTAAACTTAATCAGGGTTTATTATAACAAATTCTGGACAAATGAAGTTTGATTACATTAATGCTTGAAATGGAAGTGCTTGAAAGGAAGGGCAGAAAGCAGGACAAATGTTGCCTTTCATTTTACATTTAATAAGAAACAATTTGGCCAGGCATGGTGGCTCACGCCTGTAATCCCAGCACTTTGGAAGGCTGAGGCAAGCGGATCACTTGAGGCCAGGAGTTCAAGACCAACCTGGCCAACATGGTAAAACCCCATCTCTACAAAAAATACAAAAATTAGCTGGGCGTGGTGGTGCACACCTGTAGTCCCAGATACCTGGGGGGCTGAGGCACAAGAATGGCTTGAACCCAGGAAGCGGAGGCTGCAGTGATCCGAAATCAGGCCACTGCACTCCAGCCTGGGCGACAGAGTGAGACTCTGTCTCAAAAATAAATAAATAAATAAAATAATAATTTGGCCAGTGTCCTTACTCTCTGGTTCTCAGGTTGTAGTCATTTTGCTTTATGTGTTTTTGAGCCTTTTTTCTTTTCATACTTTTCAAAATTTTGAGGATTTTCCGCTTGCTATTTCTATTCTATTCTTTTCTTAAATGCTGATCCTGACCTAGTAATTTGATTTCATGAGCCCTAGGGTTGGAACCTGCACAGGGACCTGCAAAGGGAATAGTCTGTGGTGTCGGTGGTGATTTTTTTTTTAATTAAAAAATACTTTCTGAAAAATGTCACGTTTGAGTCCTTTTTTCACCTACTGACATTTTCTTTTGTTTCCTCTGAGGGCCTTTTTTTAAAAATAAAAATTCCCATTCTGGAAAAATTAGCAAATACAGGCAAACACACTAGAATATAATCTTACCCACCAACTAGAGCCAATTAGATTAACTCAGTGGTTCCCATGGAGTGGGAGTGGTGCAGTTGTGCCCCTCTAGGGGACATTGGGTAATGTTTGGACACATTTTTGGTTGTCACAATTGGGGGTGCAGTGCTACCGGCATCCAGTAGGTGAAGACCAAGGATGCTGCTGAGAATTCTGCAGTGCACAGGACAGCCCCCTTAGAACGCGGAATTATCTGGCCTCAAATGTCAGTTGTGCCCAGGTTAAGAAGCCTTGGTTTAATTTAACACTATGGAGTAAAGATTCCATTTACATTTATAGACTGCTATATCTTTTCAATATTATATGTAGACCACAGTATAAATAAGTGGCTAAAAATTAATCAAAAATGCAAAAAATCAAGAAAGGATAAATGTGCTTAAGAACATACAAATAGCTATAAAAATCATTCCTAGGCCAGGCGCGGTGGCTCACGCCTGTAATCCCAGCACTTTGGGAGGCCGAGGTGGGTGGATCACAAGGTCAGGAGATCGAGACCAACCTGGACAACATGGTGAAACCCTGTCTCTACTAAAAATACAAAAATTAGCTGGGCGTGGTGGTGCGTGCCTGTAATCCCAGCTACTTGGGAGGCTGAGGCAGGAGAATCGCTTGAACCAGGGAGTCGGAGGTTGCAGTGAAGCGAGATAACGCCACTGCACTCTAGCCTGGCGACAGAGTAAGACTCCGTCTCAAAAAAAAAAAAAAAAAAAAGTCATCTCTATGATTCACCAAAATTACCTCTACATAATGACCAGTTACTGGGGAGATAATCTATGGTTGACTTTAGAATCCACCCTACAGCAAGGCTTGTAGGATGTCACTCTATAATTTAATTTCCTCAACAACAGCCAAATCTGTTAACTTCTATTAAGGTAATTGAGTTTTTATGTGGAAACTGAATTGAGTATACCCTGCAGACAGAACACCTTTGAATTTTCTGCCAATCTCCCCAGCCACTTTAGGGATTTGTTAATTTCTTAAAGGAGGAATAGTTCAAATGACCAGAATTTACATATATAGACTTTTGTTGCATATATAGACTTTTTGTTGTTGTTGTTCTCTGGCATCCTGTTAGCCTTAAAGGTTTTACTTAGTGAAGATATTTAGTAGCATTTGAGTATTTGAAATTCTGTGATTCCAAGAAATCTTTTACCTTTGAAAAACCCTAATTTAGGGTATTCCAAGGCAAATACAATACAGCATGTCCTAAAACATGCTTAAAATATTTCTTTGCAGTCTAAAATTATATTTGCTAGCTGGGCACAGTGGCACACTTCCATAATCCCGGCTACTTGGAAGGCTGAAGTGGAAGGATCCCTTGAGCTCAGAAGTTTGAGACCAGCCTGGGCAACATAGTGAGACCCCTCACTCTTAAACAAATTATATTTGCTAAGTTAATTATTCTGCTTTTTTTTGTTTGTATATTTGTTTTGAGACAGGGTCTCACTCTGTCACCAAGGCTGGAATGCAGTGGCACCACCATGGCTCACTTGCAGCCTTGAACTCCTGGGCTCAAGTGATCCTCCCACCTCAGCCTCCCGAGTAGCTGGGATTACAGGTGCACACCACCATGCCCAGCTAATTTTTTAAAAATTTTCAGTAGAAATGGGGTCTCGCCATGTTGTCAGGGCTGGTCTTGAACTCCGAGGCTCATGCAGTCCTCCCACCTTGGCCTCCCAAAGTGCTGGGATTACAGGCGTGAGCCACTGCACCTGGCCTCTGCTTTTTTATTTTAAAAGCACAACTAACTGGTAGATAAAGTGATTTGTCTTTAGTATTTGATAACTAATGGGTTTTAGAGTGTTATTTATAAGATGTAGTAAATTATCCTCATCATTATTTTTAAGACAAATTTATAAGACAAGTGTAATAGAAATAGATCAACAGCACAATAGAAAAAGATGGCAGAAAACATGAATATGTAATTCACAGATGAAAGCAAAACAAATGGTCCTTTTATTAAGGGAATGCAAAGTTAAAAATCAACTAGACCCTTTTTTGTTTGTTTCTTCTTGGATTGGCAAAGAGGAGCACTTAAAAGCTGTATTTTGTTTTGGAGGATTAGTTTGGTTATGTCTACTAATGACTAAATGTGTACATACATTTTGACCCATTAGTTACACTTCAAAGAATTTTATCCAACAAAAATGTACTGAGACACATTGCTTAGTATAATAAGCCATTGAAGCTTACCCAAATATTCATCAATGAGAAATAGGTTAAGAAAATTATAGTACAACCATACATGAAACTGATGTAGCTGTAAAAGAAATGAGATCGATTTTTTTTTGTAATGATATGGAAGGATACTCAAAGTATATCAAGTGAGAAAAGATCTAGGAACAGGATATTATTATTATTATTATTTTATTTTTTGTAGGGACAGGGTCTCACCATGTTGCCCAGGCTTAGGAGCAGGATATTAGCTAACTCGTGTTACTTCTGAAAATCTTTGAAGCTCCCCCTGCTCTTTTTTCCAGAAGTGTAAAAACAAGCATGTATTTAGTATTACACATTTTTAAAAAATGAAAAAATGCTGCTGTGTGAATGAAAGAGTATACATCGTGTTGCTCCAGATGGTAAAACTAGAGTAGAATTTACTAAAATAAAGTTTCAGCACGTAAAGTAAAGCACTTCTCTGCTCTTGGCCATTTTAGACACTAACCATCTGGAGCAACCATGTAACTCTTGCCACTCATAGCTAACTTAATGTAAAAAAAAAAAATCGCTTGACTTTCTTAGCACTTCACAAATGCTTGTAAGACTGACACCAGGAGCCCTGTCATCTAAAAGGCACTTTATAGAGTGCTTTCAATTCTTCTGTTTTTTCATTCATTGCTCAAAATAGATCGTAGTGAGATAAGATAGTCTCTGGCCTTCTTGGTCTTTGGCACAAGGAAGAGGGTTCCAGAGTTGAGAGTAAGGACTTTGCATCCTTTGCCATAGAATTTGATTAGGGGCCATAAAAAGGACCATTGTGTTCTAGAATGTGAAGGACTAAGCATACCACTTTATAGTGCAAGGAATAAGTGAAGAAGTCCTTTTATAAGAAAAACTGCAGTAGAGCAATAACTTGAAATTACACTTATTTATATTTACTTTTCATTAAATGTAAATTATTTTCTTTTACCACATTGTACTACTAGAAAGAGAATCAGGAGTTTAGGCATTCAGTCATAGATATTCGATACCATTGATTTACTTAAGCACTTCTCATGTCAACAAGACTTAAGCCTGCAGATAATTCCTATTTTATCAGTGTTCGTTATAGCTTCCCTGTTGGTTTTACTTGTGAGTCATAAGCCTAGTATGGTGAATATCTAGGAAATTTCACGGTAACAGGGCTTGTCTTAGGTTTTGAGAACAGGTGTAACTTGACTTCTCTCTGCTGTTTGTCATCCTACACTTCCCACTACATCTGGTCCTTTTTGTAGGGTGTTGAGAACAACATTTTTCTTCATGCAGGGGAAAGTGGAAGTGCATGTTTTCTAAGAAGGACAAATAGGAATAGAATAAAAGAAAAAGTATATTGGGGCTGGGCATAGTGGTTCACTATGTAATCCCAGCACTTTGGGAGGCTGAGGCGGGTGGATCATGAGGTCAGGAGTTCGAGACCAGCCTGGCCAAGATGGTGAAACCCCATCTCTACTAAAAAAAAAAAAAAAATACAAAAATTAGCCGGGCACAGTGGTGGGTGCCTGTAATCCCAGCTACTCAGGAAGCTGAGGCAGGAGAATCGCTTGAACCCGTGAGGTGGAGATTGCAGTGAGCTGAGATCAAGCCACTGCCTTCTAGCCTGGGCGACAGAGCAAGACTCTGTCTCAAAAAAAAAAAATTATATATATATATATATATATATATATATATATATATATATTTTGGAAGGGAGAATGGGAGTGGAATCAAAAACATTGGTCTCGGATGAGAAGAGTCTTTCTCATTGGTTATGTGGTGATAATGGGGTAAAGCTGTAGACTTTTTTTTTCTTTAATTCATGAGTAAGATGAGCAAAATTGAGGAAGTGTCATTTTCTTGGCCTTGAGAAATGACATCATCTAAAGGAGAATCGTTGGGACTGGGGAGAAGGGGAGGGGTGTATAGCTTGAGGACAGTGTGAGGAGTTGGCAGTAGACTTGGTGGGGAGCAAATTAGTGAGGAGCAAAAAAGATTTCCTGGGATTGAAAGCCCGTTTCAGGTTGAAATAATACATTGTCATCCTTATTCAAAGAATAGGTCTCCAGAGAACCTGTACTAAGGACAATACATGGTTTATAGTTGTACAATACAACTGGATTAAAAAATTTTTTCTCACTGTTTTCATTCTGACCTTTATTCCCACTTAATTGAAATCACTGGGGTTTTAGTGTTTTAAGAAACGGATAGTTTGCTGAGTATTATATGTGACTATTTCCTACGGGTGCCCAGGGGAAGAACAAGATAGTAGGCCTAGGCCTGCACAGGGTCCCTTGTGTGCTATGACAGACTTTACTCTCACCCTCCCTAATTCCTAATTGATATAATTTTTATGTGACTCACAAGAGGTACTGGTGGTAAGAGGTATAAACTGGAATTTATAATTGAATCTACTTTCTTTGTATCTGAAAGAAAAATATTTTGGTTAATTATGGGCATATAATTTAGCTAAAAAATTACCTTAAATGTTAAGTGGTCCTTAAGGCATTTATAACAGAACTTTTTCAGACCCTAGAAGTCTAAACTGGGAAATTATTTAAAACGTTATTAAAGCAATTTAAAATGGTAAAAATAATACATTTATTTTTGTGCATTTTAGAGTTTCTTTTCTTCTTGAAGGATGTTTTTCCAGTGAAGAGGGGTTTCTCCCTATGAAGAGTATTCTCACATTTAATAGATGGTAATTTCTTACTTAAGTACAGTAATATGGATCAATGGCTATAAAGAATAGTTTGGCTTATCATCAACCCTTTTCTTTCCTAAAAGCAGTAAAAGGTGTGTCAGGGTATAAGTGGTGGAAATGCCTGGGTGGTCACATTGAGAATTGTTCCTGTAGAATTGCTGGTGTAGTTCATAGTAAGTCTCCTGGGGAGGAATGGTTGCATACTCCGCCCTGTTTGGGAAACCACCTCTTCTCTTTTAATGAGCGTAAGCTCTCGATGGTTGGTTTTTACATGGTATGATAGAAAATTAAGAGAGAAAAGAAAAAGATGATAAACTATAATATAAAGGCTCAAAGAACTGGTATTATTTAGGCAAAAGGTTATTTGACAGATTGGTATTATTTAGGCAAAAGGTTATTTGACAGACTTAAACTTTTCTTGTTCTCTCTCCAGAAAACAGAGACTATGTATCACAGCAAGAGTTTCATTGGGTTTAAGAAAGCGTACTAGAATACGTGCTGGAGTACTGACATGCATCAAAATGTAGTAGGATATATAAATTCAGTTTGTAATGACAATTTTGTCAAGTTTGTTATTTATATTTTAGCATTACCTGAAAAGTCTAATTACATTAAATCCCAAGGGATAGTCCCAATTACTTCATTAAACTGGTATTTTCATAGGGAATTTTGCTTGGATAATGATCCATTATTGGGGCTTATAATTTATTTTTTACACAGAATATGGAAATAGCTTCAGAGGTTCATTGACAATAAAGCATTCATTAAATACTGTGAATCACTAATGCCATTGATACAGAAGAATTTCCCTATGAAAATGAGAGCTTCTGTGAGAAAATGAAGTAGTTGGGAGTTTAATTTCTTATTAATATGATTTTAACTTGCTGCTTCATTCCACTATATTCTGAGTTGGGGGAAAAGGGCAGCTATCTCTTTAAAATATTTAGGAATTCTTTGAGGATTAAAATGTAACTGGCTTTTGTCCTCAGATACGTTTGTAATTAATGGTTGTGTAAGTTTAGGGATTTGTTAGATATTTTTCTTGGAACAGTTTACATGATTTTGTAGTTCAACATTTCAAAGTTTCAACTTGAATAAATATTAAAATGAGGATACTTTAAAGACACTCAAATAAGCAATTTTAAACTTGCTTTCTGGTGGGGATATAATCCCTTTGAGAGTCTGAAGGATGATGGGCTGTCACCCCAGGAAAATTTGCACATCATTTTGTTTCTAATTTCAGGGAACTCTCAGAGCCCCTAGAAGTCCTTCTGTAGACACTCAAATCTGGAGAGTTCGTTAAAATCTGTCTTGAGGATTTTTAAAAAAGTAATATCCTCAGTCTCAGTCAAATTCTTTGGATTTTTTGCTTTTGTAGGTATAAGTAAACGGTTAAAAACCTTCATTGCTACTTAAAATACCAGATGAGTGACTACTTTTCCAGTTTTTATTGGGAAAGATTTTTCTCTAGGTTCTTTAGTTTATGTAATACAAATGAACTAATGAATTTAAATACTGGTGGAAGGGGAATATTCTAATTGAATTTTTGGTCAACTCAGTATTGACCAGATGACTTACACTGAAAATCTTTTCATAATATTAGTAGTAAATATAGTGTTTTAGGATTTTGTAAAATTTCTGGAGGATGTCTGTCATCATTTTGAACACTGTATGTAGTAAAGTTAGAAAAAAATGAATCTAAAGTCTTGGGCATTGTTTAGAAGTTAAATATTCAGCCTTAAACCAAAGAATGAAAGCAAACAGAAACTTAAGTTTTAGTTATCTTTACTGTGAGCTAAATGTTCTAGAAATCTGATTGTGTCTGTGTCAGTTTGTATACTGTGTGTAAGAATATATGCATTTCTTTTGTAGCCACGTCATGAATATTTTAATGTCCCTGTGTACTAAATGACTACTCATCGAGTATGCAGAATTTCACAGAGGAAATAGAATGCTGATATACATATGAAAGAAAATATCCTCAGCATGGTGATTTATTGTCTTGTATAATAATAGTAGAACATTTTAGAACTAGTACTTTTATGATTGTATTTTTTTCCTGTTCACATTCCAAACTTTTCTGTTTTATTTTCATTCTATATGTGATCTTGATACAGCTCATTCCTTTCTGCAACTGATTTAATCTCATCTTGACAAAATATGACCTAGAAGTGTTTTGAGTAATATTAAATCTTAAACACATACATATTATTAATGAACCATCTGTGATTTATCTTATAAGAGGAAAACATGACAATCATTAAAATGTTTACCAAAGAAAATATAGCTGAAGTGCTAGGTCAAAATAAGCAGTGCCATAATATATAGTGTAGTTTGGTCTTCAAATATGGAGGTTAAAAAAAGAAACTATTTTGTGTGATTATCTTACAATCTGTATGAGCTAATGTGTTCTAATGTATCACATAAAAGTATATGTGAAAATATTACAAGAAACTAAAATTAATTTGTACCATTATATAATATTTAAGGTTAAAACATTCAGTATTAAGAAATTTTGTAGTGCCACATTTATTGAATCACATTTGTGCTATATAATAATATCAAACAATCCCTTTAAGAACTTATTAGAGAGCTATGTCTGAAGTCTGTTCTGCAATATCTGTTGCTGAATAATAACTCTTTCAAAGCATTAATGCTGAGTTTATATAGTTCAAAAATTCTAATATTCATTCAGTTTTAATACCTAAATACTTATATTTTACTAGTGATGGCATTCTAATATATTAAGTCCTCATTTAAATACTTGATACTTTGTTAACTGTGGCATTATATTTCTGAATTTTAAAACCTTTAATATTGGTAACTATTGCATATTCTTTTAATAAAACATGCAGCATATTTTTTTATAAAAGGAAAAGAATTCATTGTTTATATCTAGAGAGCATAAAGCCTAAGTTAAGTAAGTTATTAAACAATAACTTCACAAGATGTTCAAATCGATTTATCACTGAAAGAAGATCTATGAAAATGTGTTTTGACCAAACTTAGTATTAGGCAGGTACACAGATAAGATTTTCCATTCTTAACATTCTCACTGTAATGCACGACATTTGAAGCACCTGGATGTGCTATCAATCAGGTGGGAAATTTAGCATTATATATTGGAAGCATTGAGAAACATTGGTCTTTCATTTCTATTTTTTTTTCCCCTCCTTTCCTCCTCCTGCCCCACAATATATTATTCATCTGGTTTTAATGCTACATAAATATGCATTGTCTCATGCCTGTTTGTGTTGGATGCCTTGTGCTAAGCTGTAACAAAATGTTGCTTCTTTTGCTGTCTGTATACAGCTGCTTGCTTTAAATTAGTAGATTCTGAAATAGCTTTCCTTGCATGTCTAAAATAAAAGTATTGCATGTACTTCGTCTCATGTGAATGACTTTTTCTTTTCCATCCCTCATAAAATAACGTTTTATATTTTCATTTTTCTAGGCAAATTTTTTAAATTGTGGTTAAAAACACATAACACAGAATTCACCATCTTACGCAGTTTTAAGTGTACAGTTCAGTTGTGTTAGTTAAGTTTATTCACATTGTTGTGCAGCAGATCTGCAGGACTTTTTCATCTGGCAGAACTGAAACTCTATACCCATTAATCAACAATTCCCCATTTCTCCCTGTCCCCCAGCCCCTGGCAACCACCATTCGACTTTCTGTTTCTATAAATTTTACTACTTTAGATAGATAATAGTTTTTCTGGGTAGTTTTGAGCTACAATTTCAGTGTGAACATGTGTAAGTTCCATTTTATATTATCACCACAATTTATTTTAAAACTCTACCTGTGCAAGTCTCACAAGAATAAAATGTGTAAATAATTCTTTGAAACTAGGCCTTTTAGAAAGGACACATATTTTCAATAATGCATATTTGATAAGCAGTATGATTCTCTACAGGAAATGCTATATAAGATTGCAGGCAGTGAGCACATGGGGAAAAGTCTGACCAGCTCCACGGAGTAGCTGTGGGGCATTTTTACATGGAGAAGCTGAGAATGTAAACTGTAGAATTCAATGGAGGCATTATTTAATTGATACATTCAAGGCTACATGAACCTTTAAACTACTTAACATTACATGGAAATAATTATTTTAAATTTTTCTTGAATATTTATGAGATTTAGATGTCATTCTCAGTGTATTTAATGCTTAAGGCTAAATATAAATGAAAGGGATTGGCTTACATCACTCTTGGGTGTTACATCATTTCCACTGGACTTTCTTAAAAAACTTTATCATGAAAACTTCAAGACTCACGAGTATAGGAAATAGTATAAAGAACCCTCGTGTACACATCACTGAGCTTCAAGAACCATCAACTTAATACTGTTTCCCCAACCACTCCCCGCATTTTTGCCTCAGTATCTTAGAGCAAGCCCTAGACATCTTGTCAGTTTGTCTTTAATACTTCAGTATGTGTCCCTAACAGATAAAGTACCATGCCCCACAAAATTAACAGGAATTAATAATTACTATCTTATGCCTGGCTCAATTTTTCCTAATTGTCTGAAAAATGCCTTTTTATATTTGGTTTGTTAGAATCAGATTCCAACCAAGACTCTCACATTGTATCTGATTGATGTGCGTTTTAAGTCTCTTTTAATCTTTAACAAATCGTCTGCTTTTTCCCGCCTTGCCATTTTTTTTTTTTAAAACGAGGTCATTTATGCTGCAGGATGTCCTACCTTATGGATTTGGCCATCATACTCATATGGCAATGTTTAGCTGTTCTTATATCCCTCATTTCTATTTAGATCTGTAACCTGACTAGATTGAGGTTCAATTTGAGGGGGCAAGAATACTTCATAGGTTAGACTCTTTTTAAAAAAATACCTTTTTTCGCTAAAGCTGATTTTTACCCATTTTTATTACTATGCAGACATACTAAAAGGTCATCATATGAGCTTTATAAGTAGAATTGGTGTATAGTACTTGCGTTTAATAATAAATGCTAAATCATTTCGATTTCAATTGTGTAACTATATCACCTAACATTTTTGAAGCACTTTCTATAAATTAGGCAGAGCCTTAATTCACTTAATCTCAACATATGAAGGTAAGTACTATTATCCATGTTTTCCAAATAAGGAAACAGACCATAGAGTTTAAGTAATTTACTTAAGATTACACCATGAAGTGCTTTACATGCAATTAATATTCTAAAGATTTATGGTTTAATATAATTTCTCTTCTCCTTGCTTTGTGCTGTACCATGATTAGGATGCGAAAGTAAGTTTATTACTGGATGCCAAAAATTTATATTATTTTCCATCATTAAAATATAGTGTTGCCTTTTAATTACAAAATTCGTTGCTAGTAATACCTGAAAGTTGGCCTCCTTGGTCCTTTATTTTGTGATTTGCAAAATCAGCCACTTTGGAAAATTATTAAATAATTTTTTCCTGGATATGCTTACTTTGTTTTGACCTCCTTTGACACTTAAAAACCAGTGCTGGTTGCTACATAGAATAAAAATGCCTTTGGCCCATGGCATTCTTTGCATATGTGGCCTCTAGTGATGCCATTGGTTGCACTGGGGAGGTCTGGGAAGATAGCTGTTTCTGAAGACTTGCCGCTGTGGACACAGTTAACTAAAAACTCCAAGAGGAAGACATTTCTATAAATGCATGTGACAAAAAGCATGGAACACAACAGTAGGCGAAGAACTGTGGGAACTCGGAGGGAAGAGGTTTTGAATTTTACCACTAAGATAACTTATCTTTCATATATATAATTGAGTAGCAGTGATTTCATAAATTGCCAGCAGGTTTGCACTGGGCTTGACTGCTTTTTGCATGACAGCAACGGCATCTAGCACATTGGTAGGTAATTAGCAGGTACTTAATGAATGCTGAAAACGTCCTTTTGTGGTCTCCAATTTTGAGGGCACAAAACCCTAAATAACCAATGGCTGTCAACTAGAATGCTACTGTGACACGAAATTGCTTTCTTGATTCTCTAAAACAAGCATGTTCTTCCATGTCAATGTTTCACATTCTCAAGACTCCCTGGATCTGCTTACCAGAGTCTCACATTTTCCCTCCACAGGAAGCTGAAACCCCACGTAGTGTTCTTGAAGAAATTGGACTGACATAACTCTCCTCCCTTGTTGATGACTTCTTGTGGCATTTCACACACTGTAGATGGTCACTCCCTTCATGTCCATGTTAGCTCATGGTGTAAGATGATGTCTTGTCAGTATTACTGTTTTGCTAAGCCGCTTCATTCATGCCTACACAATTTTTTTTTAAAAGGGAACTTTAGTTAATTAAGTGATAAGGGACTTAAATATGAATTAGAATGGTGCAGAAAGAGATACCTTTTCTGGATATTTTAAAGTTTAAAGGTCAGTTTCTCTTAATCTGATTATGTGCACATATGAAAATGGCACATCATATACATGTAAAATCAGGCAGTATACATTTATTAATTACTGTATTTGACAAAGGAAACTCTTAAATTATAATGTGAAACCTGGTTTTATGAAACCAAAGACTAGTGCAGCATTTCAGCATATGTAAAAAAAAAAAAAAAGGGAATTGACATGTCACATATCAAATGAATGGAAACTTTGTTGAAACTTTAAAAAGCAAATTTACTCCAAAGACTTGTATTGGAAATTACATACCTTTTTTTTTTTTTTTTAAAGGACTACAGATTATTTTTAATGACTAAATTGGAGTGATACTTCTTACACTAAAAATTATTTCTTAGGCATTCTGAATCTGGGATGAGAAACAGGATTGTTTCACAATAGTAAGCACATAATTTTTAAGGCCAAGGCACATTTGACTCCTGAGATGAATTTTTTGTGGTCATAATCAAATACTTAGTTGTTTTTGATGCCCCAAAATAAAGTGAGAATGGTAATTTGCCAGGAATTCTTCATAACAGTATCTTACAAAAAACGTGTTGCTCTCTTCACAGTATTATGTGTAAAGTCATTGTTTAAAGCACGAATGTTCCCTCTGGGGTACTTGTTAAAGCTAAATTTATTTTGCTTCCCTCCACTTAGAAGTGCTGCACACTTTACAGCAGCTTCCTTTCTTTCCATGGCACTGCCTAGTTAACAGAAGTCTTATAAAAATTTAAAAAGACACATTTCTTACAAAAAAGAGTTGAATGAGGTAAAATGGCATTAGATGGCTCTATATTTTTTAAAGCTATGTAATTGTTCAGCGTCACTTTTCTAAGTACTTATACATATCTAAACATGTCTTCATGGTTTATATTTTCACTTATATATGCTGGGCTGGATTAAGCTTTGTTGTGATTGTGACCAACATTCAGGCCACGTGAGCACTGTCTTATCACATCGCCAATTAGTTGTAATAAACGTTCAACGTACAAACACTGGAGTGTGTTTTTATCTCTTTCCAAAAGTTTGTCAAACTATGCAGAGCTGCTGAAGGAAGAATTTCTCATTTTTTTTTCAGTAAAATGTTGAAAATTCCCCTCCATTTGAATATGGTGGTTGTTATAAGCACACACAAGATACATGGTGGAAGATCTAAGGAGTCTTCATGTACTTCATTAAAAAATAACATGGATTCCATACTGAGAGCCTATCTACACATTTATTTTCAATCAATAAATGCTGCTTTTAAAACCTTGATGCAGTTGACTTTTCTACTCTTTCTGAATGAACAACTTAGACTGTTACTCAAAAGGTATTTCAAATCAACTGGATTCCTCTTACCCCCTTGTGAACTGAAGGTGCTAGCACATGCAACAGAAAGGGACTAATACTTGCAGACTGTACTACCTAACCTATGCAACAAATCAAATCTATGGTAATCATGATAGTTAAGGGACCTCCTATTACTACAGATAGGAAATGTTACATTCTAAAACTGGGCTATTTAAGAAGGAGGCAGGAACTACCATCAAATTAAGTTGCTAGTCTACTGGAAAAAAAGACGTTTATAGGTTTAAAAAGCCTCCAACATGCAGCTAGCTATTCACTGAAAACAGGCCTGTGGGTTTCTGCTAGCAATGTATAGTTGGAATTTTTGAAACATAAATAGTAATCAGGCAATATATATTAAAAAAAACTAATAAATTTAAGTTCAAGATGGACATTTATCAGGATAATGAACCAGTCAGTGGTTTAAAAACTTCCTGCCCTTCTACCCTGCCTATTAACATTTGAGGGGAAAGTCATCAATATCTCAGTTGTCCTGAGCTCAAGATGGTGGTTTTCTTTCTTAGCCTCCATGATTTATTAAGATTTCAGCTTTGCAGACCACATTTAATTGCATATATCTTGACTGTATTTAGAAAAGTATTAAAAAATACTGAATTTAATGATAATTACTCGGCGTTACTGAAATCAGTAGATAGTTCTAGGTCAATCATTTTCAGGGTGAAGCAGGCATTTAGAGTCTGGAACAAATCCAACTTTTTAAAGTGAAATTATCCTGGGCCACATGCATGATTTCTTTTATTGACTACACATGAAAGAACTCTCATCCTTAACAGATATCATGCAGAAATTCCAATTTTGAGGAAACTTTCTTCCTACTTAAATTTCGTTAACGTTTCAGTATTTTACGTATGTTTTAAGTCCTTATTCCCAAATCTCAAATTGAAAAATGTCACATACTCCAAAATTCTAGATCCCAAATATGTCAATGGAAAGAAAGCGACAAAAAATTGATAAAGCTGGAGAGCATCTTATTTATGATCAGAAATCTAGGTATAATATTTTGCCTGAAGCTTTTTCTGCATTAGGTTCTATTCTCTGACCATTCTGTTGAGATTTTTATACCAGGATTGCTTTAACACTAGGCATATTTAGTACCAATGACCCTAATATTCCTGGAAATGACAAAAATAAACTTTACTCCTATATAAAGAACTTTCCAACACACTATTTAAAAAAGTACACGACAGCCCCCAGCTGAAGAGTAGGAGGAAAAAAAATGGACTTTGCCCATCAGTACTTTAAAACTGAGAAAATGAACTTTAAAGCAAAAAAGCTGTTCAGCTATTACATATAGAAAAATCCAATAGATTATTAATAAAAGGCAAACAAGCAGGGCTCACCTGTAGTTTCAGATATTCAGGAGGCTGAGCCAAGAAGATCGCTTGAGCCCAGGAGTTTGAGGCTACAGTGCACAATGATCATGTGAACAGCCACTGCCCTCCAGTCTGGGCAACATAGCAAGACCCTGTCTCTAAAAAAAGGGGTAGGGGGCCAACAAGAATAAAAAAACATTAAATATATGAACACATAAAATTTATCAAATTGGTAAGGATTAAAATTACTTGGCGTTGTGGGAGCAGCAAAGTTTATTGACATAATAAATTTTTTATAGTCTTCTGGCAGGCAACTTGGAAATATTTTAGTATTCATGTCCTTGATACAATTTATCCTAAGGAAATGATCAAAAATATGTGGAAGTATTTAAGAAAATCCATCACAGGATTGATTTCAGCACAGGATTCTTGAATAGTACAAAATTAAAAATCTAACAATGAGGATATGGTTGAAAAAACTGATCCATATTGTGCAGTGAGTAAAACGAAGAATAGGGCTTGATGAAGTATGACTGCTTCTTGTGAATAAAAGCATATTCAACTGCATTCATATGTGTTCTTTGTATTAAAAAATGTGTACATAGGGCTGGGTGTGGTGGATCACACCTATAATCCCAGCGCTTTGGGAAGACAAGGTGGGAGGATCACTTGAGCCCAGGAGTTCAAAACCAGCTTGGGCAACATGGCAAAACGCTGTCTCCACAAAACAATGTTTAAAAATTAGCCAGGTGTGGTGGTGTGTACCTTGTAGTCTCAGCTACTTGGGTGGCTGAGATGGGAAGATCACCTGAGCCCAAGAGTTTGAGGCTGCAGTGAGCTATGATCACGCCACTGCTCGTGAGAACCTATCTCTAAAAAAAAAGAAAAAAGTGTACACACTAAAACAATGCTCCAATGTTTAGTTCTCTCTCAGGGTTAGGATTACAAGTAATTTTCATGTTGTTATTTATGTATTTTATGTTTTCTATACTAACCATACTTCATGATTATAAGAGAATAAAAATATTTTTAAATAGAATTCCAGGCTACACAGGGTTCAGCCAGACTTGCGAACCCATCTGCGTTCATAGCCTTCTATCCGAGTATGTAGCAACCATAATAAATAAGATATACAATCATTTAAGAACAAAACTAGTTTATTTGGATTTGGGACTCTGAACAGTTCTGTCTCTATTACCCGACCTCCTCCTGCCACGACTTCGGGACCTAGAGGAACTTTGGCTCCGGCTGCGGCGGCTCCTGCGGCTCCGGCTCCGGCTCCGGCTCCGGCTGCCCCGGCCCCGGCTGCGGTCCCTGCTGCGGTCCCTATTTCTTCCTCTGCTTCGTGAATTGTGCCTCTCCCGACTCTTTGATGTGCGTTTGTGAGATTTCTTCCCCCTGTGACGACTACTTTTCCTCTCGGATTCCCCATTTCTTTTGTAGGAGTGGTCTGGACTAGGGTTTCTCCTTCCCCGCAGCCTGCTGTAGTAGTCGTCGTGGTGGCCCATCCTCTCCCTCCTTTCGGAGTTCTTCCCAAAGGAGGAGCCAGTCCGATCTGGAGACAAGTAGATGTCTCTATTAGCTTCCCAGAATTCATTGTTGGGATTTCTGAACACATGAAGAAAGTTGCAGTGCTTTCCTCTTGGACATTGTTGTATTTCAAATAAACCTGCAATGGCACAGTGATGAAACAGCACTTATCACTGCATATTCTGAAGATGCTACTTTATCCTTTTCCGAAGGTACATTTCTGATATTTGGATATGCTAGAACTATTTTCTACTGTGTATTATGTAAAAGGGGCTTACATAAATTGATGTCATAATTTGGTTCCCACGATTTCAAACGTGCTCTAATAAATGACACTCTGAAAGGTAACAAATCAGAAGTTTTCATTAAGCAGAATAGCCTGTGCCCCTGTTGGATTATGGTGCAGACTGCAACTGAGCAAATGGTGACCACGTTATCTTCTCCAGGTTTCACCTTCCCACTGATTGACGATTTTGATCCCTGATTAACATCAAATAGCCAGCTCTTTGGGTCCCTGTGGTAGCACGGTTTGATGGCATGGAGGAAACAGGCCAGAACCACTGGTCAAAAGAGAAGGCGTGGCCAGGTGCGGTGGCTCACACCTGTAATCCTAACACTTTGGGAGGCTGAGGCGGGCACAGACCTGAGGTCAGGAGTTTGAGACCAGCCTGGCCAACATGGCGAAACCCCATCTCTACTAAAAATACAAAAATTAGCTGGGCGTGGTGGCAGGCGCTTGTAATCCCAGCTACTCAGGAGGCGGAGGCATGAGAATCACTTAAACCCAGGAGGTGGAGGTTGCAGTGAGCCAAAATTATGCCACTGCACTCCAGCCTGGGCGACAGAGTGAGACTCACTCTCAAAAAAAAAAGAGAAGGCCTATTAAACATAGAGGAGTCTATATTTTCTTTAAACTTTAAGATTATAAACATTACACTAATGCTTCAAATTCACTAAGTGCTTTTAATACAGAAGATTCTTATCACAGATAAAATCTATTCGAACAATTTTGAGATCTTTGGGGTTCTCAAACGTTTTTTAAAAGCAGTAAATTCCCCAGATATGCACAACAGTTAGAAGTGAAATACCTCCGTACCACATACTATATACAAAAATTAAACTGTATCCAAGACCTAAATGTTAAGAAATGAAACTATGACCTTGAAGAAAACATACAAGTAAATCTTTGTGACCCTGGGCTAAGCAATGTCATCCTAGATGTGACACCAAAACAAACAAAAAAATAGTTAAGTTGGATTTCATCAAAATTTACAACTTGTATTTCAAAAGAACATGAAGTGAAAAGAACCTACAAAATGGGAGAAAATATCTGCAAATCATATTTGTGACCAGGTACTTGTATGGAGAATATACCAAGAACTCTTACAACTCAATAATAAAAAGACAAAGAGCCTAGTTAGAAAATAGGCAAAGGATCCAAACAGACATCTCTCCAAAGAAGACATACAAATGGCCAATAATGAAAAGATGCTCAGTGTCTTTAGTCAATAAGGAAAATAAAGTGTTTTTTTTTTTTTAATGAAATAGTCCCCTGCTTTGGAGGAGTCAAGGTCACACTCAGAAGCTCCTCACTGAACTCACACTGGATTCCCAGGAACTGACAAAAGTAACTGCCTTTATGGAGCGAACAATTCCACCTCTTCCATCCCCCGAGCCTTTAAAGTGTAATGGTTCTTCTGGTTTCCCTTAGCCAGGAATCCTAAAATCTTTCTTTTCCCTTCATAAATGGTTTCAGAATGACAGAATCCAAGGAAGACAAGCTTGCCAAAGATTCTGACTTTGCGTTAGGCAGGCATGTATACAGCAAAGAAACACAAGTAAACGGTAAGATAAGTGCTCCCCAGAGGCATTTAGAGCTCATCTCTTTTCACCTAGGGAACAGTCCACTGAGAGAAATCAGAACATAACTAGGCCTTCAAAACTGCTGGCTATTCTGCACAAGACTGGATCATTTCCTGATTGGGTTGCCACTGTCCGATGTCAGTCTGACTGCATTCATGTTTAACTGATCCCAAGCCTACAATTAGTCTCTAGTGCACAGAAGGATGTATTATTCCAAGTAAGGCAGGAAATGCTATGGGCAAGGTAACGTAGGTGGTCATGACAGAAGATTCATTAGGGATAAAGATGGAAAGAAAGAAACAAACAAACAGCTCAAGTGAAGTGAGCCAATGAATATAAAATACCTCTGAAACTGCAACAAGGGAAATGGGGCTTCCACAGACGTAAACTCCTCAGGCTTCCTGATTTGTCAGACACAGAGCCCAGGACTGAAGATTGGAAGACTGGAATTCTAGCCCCACCTCTGTCACCAATACGTTGTGACCTCAGTCACTTCATCTATCAAGTGACTCATTGAGGTCGGTTACAGATCTAAACTGTGGTGTTCTTTATATAAAGTTCTCTGCTCATCTACTGTGTGAGGCAAAAAGCTATGCCTCACCACTTGAAAATACTGGGTTTCCCCCAAAGAATATCCCTTTATATAGCAGTGGAACAATTGAGGAAAAAAATCATCACTTTGTCTTTTACCACAAATCGCCATTTTCCACCGGGTCACGGGGCAGAATTCACACTGCAGCTGTCGTCCTGCATACCATCGTCCGTTAAACAGAGAAAGGGCTGCTTGGCATTCTTCTTCCCTTTAAACCAAAAATCAAATGATATGCTTTACAGTAACTTCCTAATATGTAGATTAGCTCTACTATTAATTAACCCCGTTATTAATTTATTGTAGGACCACCAAGTTCACTGATTTTGTACCTAGGGAAGAGTCATTAAAATGGTCAAGCTCCCAAAGCTCCCAATTTATTCAGGAACCCTTTTTACTAACCCTCGGAGAGGTTTCAATGCATGGAAATTGGCTTGAATGAAACCGTCTTAATCCAAAAGATTGGACCATTAAAAATGCAGAAGTGTTTTCCATTATTAGGGCCTATTCTTTCTCAGATAGGATTGCTGTTCTTCTTATTACACTGGTTAATTTAACCCATTAGCCATGGTATGGCCTAGGCAAACAGCAAGATAAGAAGAAATGATACATTAATTGCTCTCTTAGCTGGTCAAATGCACACTAAGATGATTTTGGGCTTCAATCTCCGGCTCTTTCACTATAAATGCTTTTATGTTCTCTATTCTAGTTATCCCTTATTAGTTTGTATTTTAATTATTAAAATTATGAGTAATAATATAACCATATTGTAAAACATTCAAAACTATGTAAATATATAAAGAATGAAATATAAATTTATTATTTTTTTCTTTTTGAGATGGAGTCTTACTCTCACTCTGTCCCCCAGGCTAGAGTGTCGTGGTACAGTCATACCTCACTGCAGCCTCGACCTCCTGGGCTCAAGTGATCCTCCTGCCTCAGCCTCACAAATAGCTGGGACTACCAGCACATGCCACCACATTCGGCCAATTTTTAAATTTTTTTGTAGAGATGAGGTCTCTCTTGAAGCGATTCTCCTGTCTCAGCCTCCCAAGTAGCTGGGATTACAGGTGCCTGCCACCACGCCTGGCTAATTTTTTGTATTTTTAGTAGAGATGGGGTTTTGCCATGTTGACCAGGCTGGTCTTGAACTCCTGGCCTCAAGCAATCCTCCCACTTCAGCCTCCAAAAGTGTTGGGATGACAGGTGTGAGCCACCATGCCCGGCTTATATTATTTTCACATCCATTCTATATTTCTGTTTCAACTCTTAATATTTAAGTTTTAAATATTTAGATTTATTTAAACTTTAATTTTATTTAAATATTTTAAAATATATGAAAGCTGGGCCAAACACAGTGGCTCACGCCTGTAATCCCAGTACTTTGGGAGGCCGAGGTGGGTGGATCACCTGAGGTCAGGAGTTCGAGACCAGCCTGGTCATCATAGTAAAACCCCATCTCTACTAAAAATACAAAAAATTAGCTGGGCATGGTGGCAGGCACCTGTAATCCCAGCTACTCAGGAGGCTGAGGCAGGACAATCACTTGAACCTGGGAGGTGGAGGTGGCAGTGAGCTGAGAACACGCCATTGCACTCTAGCCTGGGCAACAAGAGCGAAACTCCGTCTCAAAAGAAAAAAACAAAATAAAAATAAAAACATAAGAAATAAAATACATGAAAGTTATATATCCAGTGGAAAAATCCCAGACATCAACAGAAACAGAACAACAAACTGTGACAAATCAGGAAGACATCCACAAGCAGAATACTTACGACTGGTACTGAACATATACATTGCCCCTCAGGTGAGGTTCCAAATTGCAGCTGACCTAGGGAGCAATGAAGAATGCTATCATAAAAAATTCAGGAAAAGAAACCAGCCATTCATCAAATGTTGTTTGTCCAGGCTAACATTCCCCAAAGTAGTTACCAATCAAAGATTGCAAAATAGAGATACTAGCTGACTCTTGCATCTATTTAAGGCGTACTTGGCACATGGCAGCGTGCCTGATCCCTGTTGGTCCAGGTCTGTTTTCTCCCACAAATATGAAATGTTTCACACATCCATAAAAATACAGAAGATATCAATCAGCCTATATATGCACTACCCAGATTTAACACTAACGTTTTCCACTTCTGAATGAGAATATTTACATATGTAAAACATTAAAGACTCAGTTGAAGCCCTTCTATCCCATTCTTCTCCCTCCTCCATCACATAGGTGAACACTCTCCACAGGCTAGGAGTGTAGCCTTCACATTCCAAACACAAACACACATATACATACATAGACCTACACAGACACAAATACAAATACACAGATACAGGCATATATACATACATCATATGCATGCCAAAACCCACACATATGTATCATACATATAAATGTCCATTATTTATAATGGGTATACACATATATATACATATGCAAAGAAACAGGTAATACGTATTGATAAACAACATATAGTGTTGCTTTGTATGTTTTAAAATTTTATATCAATAGTATTTATTCCATATTCTTTTTTCAAGATGTAGTCACATAAACTTAACTACTGTATACTGGATATACCAAATAATAAAACTTATCTACTCTAGAATGATGGTTTTTCAAGATGCTTCCAATTTTTCATCCACAAACAGTACCGCAGTCAGCATTCTTAAACAGGTCTCTGTGGGTATAAAGAGCTCTCTACTGTGCATAGCCAGGAGTGTGCCAATTTATAGGTTACACGTACCTTCACTAGGTATTGACAAACTGCTCTCTGAAGTGGTTTTACTAATGTACACATCCTCATCTACTCTTGGTATTAATAGAATTTATAATTTTTTTGCCTGATAGGTGTGAATATCATCCCATTTTCATATGTACTGTTCCTATTACTAGTTAGGTTAAATATTTGATCATTTGCCTTCAACAATGACAAATCTGATTTGTTTTTATATAATAGTATGTAAAAAGGTCCTCAAATATTCATACTAGTGTTTAGCGTTTATGTTCAAAATGAATCTATAATTTTACAAATTTGTTCCAGAGTATTTTTCTTAGGGTATCCCAAAACGAGCAGGATCCATACTCAGTGACAGTTTGTAACACCACCCTTAGAAGGAAGAATAAAAGGCCTCGGGAATCCATGTCAGCTGTGCAAGCCAGGATGAGAGAACTCTAAACAAAAGAAAAAATACGTTGTGGTGGTTGTGGTTTGTGGGTGCAGCCTGTTGCAAGTAAGGGTGCAATTTCCATTAACTACTCTGCAGTTCTGAAAGCAGCCCTCCCATTACCACTTCACAGAAGCAGTATAATCAAGAAACCCTACGAGGAAAACCACTGACGTAATCCAGTCCCCTCACTTTCAGGATAAGGAAAAGGCAGGAAGAAGTGACAAGGCTAGTCAAACCACATGGCCTCCTCGGCCAGTGCTTCTAACATGGTATTGTGTGGCTGTGACCAGGCAGTTCCACTTTAGCAGTTATTGCTTGTGCTGACAAGTAATGTGAAGACAGGAAGGCATATGCCCCAGAAACAAAAGGTTAAGGAGGAAAAAAAAAATAAAAAGAATTTTTAAAAATCTTGAAGTCGGTTGATAGAAGTATAGCCTTAAATGTCAGGAATATCTTCATTTTTGGGGGGGTGTTCCAACTTTTCATCATCATTTGCAACTTGCAGGAAAAAAAATCACGGTTCTATTCCTGTCTTTTCCCAAATTATGGGACAATTTCCCTGCCTTAACATAACAAAGGCATTCCAGCTCAGATCTGATGAAATCACAGACAAGGCAGGAAGCTTCACCCTATTAGAATTCAACTAATGGGTCCTGGGGGCAGCAGAGATTACATCTGGCCTTACCCTTGCATTAAGGAATATTTTAAAATAATTATGTGTCATCTGAATGCCTTTTTCACCAAGTATGCTGCATCACAGACCATGGTTTGTATAATACTATATTCAGTATTGAAAGAATCCAATGAATAAAAACAGTGTAAAAAAAAGAAGGGGGTTAGGTGGTGGAATCTAGATTTATGTTCCTGTGTGGCTCCAGAAGAAAGAACATACACCTTGGGTGGAAGCTAAGTCGGCACTGTCAACACAATGCACCAACAAACTTAGTGAGTGAAGTTGTGTCACACTGCACACGGAAGCCACCTACAGAGGAAGGAAGGGAATGCACCGTTTGTCACATGCAGCTTCTAAGTGAAGGACTGGATGGCTATATGCAGGGGACCTGATACAGAGAATTCATGTGCTGGAAAAGAACTGGAGCACAAAGCTACTAAATAAATGAAAGATCCTTTCCAATCTAGACCCCTAGCATTCAGGAAATACCATGCTAATATATGTTTATGATTTCATGTGGTATTGACGTGACATTGGCAACAAGGTAGGGGGTGGAAAGAGAGAAAGAGGGAAGTCACATTTATAGAGTGCTAGCGTGCCTGACCCCAGCTGAGCCTGTGTCCCAGCTCTCTTGTGCCATTAAGTACTGCAGGGTGAAGCAAACCAGTCCCCTCCTCCACACGCATGCCCACCTTGAACTGAATCACTTTCCCCACGTTCTTGAACTCGGGCAACACATCCTCATAGAAGTCTAGGAACTGTTGGTAGGTTTCTTCCTCGCTGTACTCCAGGCTTGCGTCAGGGTCATAGTCATCCCTCCTGCACTGCTCCATTCCAAACGTCGTAAACATGCTCTTAATAAGAAGGGTAGGACTGGATGTTGGGAAATTATGTTTACGTGAACATCTGCGTATGAAAGAAAAGCTTAAATTCACTAGGCCAATAGTTGAAAATTACTCACAAAACAACTGCTTTAGACCAGGCATGGTGGCTCACGCCTGTAATCCCAACACTTTGGGAGGCCGAGGCGGGTGAATCACCTGAGGTCCAGAGTTCGAGACCAGCCTGGCTAACATGGTGAAACCCCAATTCTACTAAAAATACAAAAAATTAGCCGGGCGTGTTGGCGTGCGCCTGTAGTGCCTATAATCCCAGCTACTCAGGAGGCTGAGGTAGGAGAATCACTTGAACCCGGGTGGCGGAGGTTACAGTGAGCTGAGATTGTGCCATTGCACTCCAGCTTGGGCAACAAGAGCGAAACTCCGTCTCAAACAAAAAACAAACAAAAAAACACTTGCTTTAAATTTTGAGATAGAAACTCATGTAATTTAGTTGTTTTGACTTAACTGAAAGATAATAAACCCCACTCAGATGCCAAGTTTCAGCGCTTAAGAGGATTTTTTTAAGTGTTGAAACTTGGCACTTGCTGTTTTAATGTCAAGTTGGAAACATTTCAAAGTTCATATACCATTCAGCTGCCTTTGAATGAAGTTCAGGAAGCCTATACATGTTGAACCATAGGGGAAAAGAAGGCCCGCTGATTGGTGTGACAGGATGTGGTGACAGGCATGAAGATGTCACATGCGGGACTGCTGAGAGGAAGGTGGGAACTAACAATGCAATCCTGGTTCTGTACAATCGTCAGTGGACTCAATGTTTAGACAATATAGTAATCCAAGAATTTCCAGTTAATGAAGCAATTCAATCTGATCTGTGTACAGCATCTTGTAGCTTTCATGGCATTTTTACATTTTTCCCCTCTGGTCCTTTTATCCCTTTAGGACAGTGGGGGCTAGTATTTTCACCACTTTGCAAAGACGGAAGCTGAGACCTAGAAAAGCACACTTGCCCAAGTCAGTCATATGGCTTGGAAGAGAGGGATCCAAGACATCTGCATTAATCTACAATCTGGTGCCTGTTCACGATGGGGTGTAATAAATACAATTTGTTTTTGAGACAGGGTCTTGTTCTGTTACATAGGCTGGAGTGCAATGGTATGATCATACTTCACTGCAACCTTGAATTCCCCGGGCTCAAGTGATCCTTCTGCCTCAGCATCTTGAGTAGCTGGCGCATGCCATAGGCGTATGCCACCACACCCGGATAATTTTATTTTTGTAGGGACGGGGTCTCGCTATGTTGCCCAGGCTGGTCTCGCACTCCTGGCTTCAAGTGATCCTCCTGCCTCAGCCTCCCAAAGCTCTGGGATTACAGGTGTGAGCTACCATACCTGCATCATTTAATTCTTATTTAATGAAGGTGGCCAACCATTATGAAGAACAATTTTATTTTCATAGTTTAAACTGGACCAAGGCTAAGCTGACCAGGCTGTACCTGAGTAATATTTCAAAAATCCTTCATATGAGTTTACTTTCTTACTTCCTTCCTTCTCCTAACATACAATGTGGAGGAAAAATGTAGTTCAAGGTTCCAAATAAACAAAATTTTCCTGGTTAGGTTGCTAGTTAAAAATTGGTAAGACAAAAACTTTTTTTTTTTTTTTTTTGGCGAGGGGAGTCCACAGAATTTAGGAAGAAAGAAAGTTGAAGAATAGGACGTGTTGGGAAAAAACAACAATGGCCCTGAAATGACTAAATGTTTAATAATACTCACTTTCCATGTCTGTAATGTCTATCTAAGCACCTACTGAGATAATGCTTACAGAATGCCCAGCATACACCATGCTCAGCTCAGAAATGCTTCATCAACGTTCATTAACGTGAAATTTTCTATTTTCCAAATGACCTCCTGGATTATTCAATTAGAGACCTTGTAATTAGATCCCTCTTCCCAACTACTGATAGAACAAAGAGCAAAGACTCAACCTGACTGGCAACACTAACAGTGAATCAAAATGTTATAAGTATGAAGCATGCAGAGAATTAAACAAGGAACTAATTTAATGAGGTTAAAATTCTGCTCAAGGGATTCCTAGATCTGAATGAACTTGGCCCTAGTTCCCAGGATGTCAAATAAGCATTTGTCAGTTTTGGAATAGAACCAAAGTCCCTGTCTGGGGAAAAATCCCATCTGGCCTAAAGACAGTCCTTATAATCTAAGTGTATACAAAAGGCCAGCCCTATAGCTTTTATTGAAAACTCAGCTAAGAGAAGTGACATTTACGAAGGCAGTCTAAAGCTGTGGTTCCAAGCCTGTGTGGTTCTCAGAATTACCTGGAAAGAACTGAGATTTCTTACTTCCTACCCTAGACCATCTGATCAGACCTCAAGGGGTGGGGGACCCATATTTTCAAAGTAGCTCCCTACCTGGTCCTGAAGATCAGCCATATTTGGGAACCACTGGTTTAGGGCATAATATTTACCCATTATTCTGATACTTAAGTCAGTTTGCTGCAAAAACCCACAGTTGTTGGATATTACCTTAGGCCAAGGATGGCCAATAAATGGTGTGGGTATCCAAATGCCCCCTCGGGTATAGCTAACTGACTACTCCTCTTTTTCTTCTTCTCAGGGAAGTGCTCCTGGTACGCATTACCTTTGTCCTACATAGAATCCCCGCATTGCATGTTAAAGTGAAGCTGCAATCATTTATCGAAGGTCACTGTAAGAAACATCCTCATGAAAATTACATATGCAACTGTTATAAAGCATCTATTAAAGTTATTGTCCACCTTCCTATTTAATGTCTTTGTAAAATATTCCAAGGGAGAAACCTTTAGAATCTGGTGCCAGGAAAATTTCTGTCTTTCTAGAGATACCACTCATTCTTCCTTTTTGGTAAGAATGACAGCTTACTATCTGCTTGAGATGAATTCAAATATGGAGAAATAAAAACCTGGAGAAAATAACTCACTTTCTCTTCCTTTCCTTGCTTTCAATTTCCTTTACTTTCTCTAACTTAATGTGCTAGATCACGAACCTTCTTTAAATCACTTTTGGAAGTAAGTGAGGTATAAATAGACCACTAAGTTTTACCTTCCATTAGTAATTATTACCTTTTAGGAGAAAAACAAATAGATTCCCCTCAAAGCTGTGACTCCAAAAAATACCAATTCCAGCATGGCTCTAGAATTGAACTCTGTACTAATTACAAAAACAACCAGCCAAAGAAATGCTGAGGTTATGGAAGTGTTCCTCTGATGCTCTGACAAAACTTAACGACAGAACAGAACAGCTGTACGATCTGGAGCAAGTCACCAAGGCTCTCCATAAAAAGGGAACAGAGCAGTCTACTTGTCTAAAGGGATGGTGCTGGATTTTGTAACTGCAAATTTCGCAGAATTTCATGTCACAACTTATCACTTGAATGATGAAAATCTCCACACTGCTGTTATACTTTGATAGTTGTGATGGTAAAATTTCATATGCCTATGAAAATTGTAAGAAATGTTCGCAGCCAGGCGCGGTGGCTCACGCCTGTAATCCTAGCACTTTGGGAGGCCGAGGCGGGCGGATCACAAGGTCAGGAGATCGAGACCATCCTGGCTAACATGGTGAAACCCCATCTATATTAAAAACACAAAAAATTAGCCAGGCGTGGTGGCGGGCCCCTGTGGTCCCAGCTACTCGGGAGGCTGAGGCAGGAGAATGGCGCGAACCCAGGAGGCGGAGTTTGCAGTGAGCGGAGATCGTGCCACTGCACTCCAGCCTGGGCGACAGAGCGAGACTCCGTCTCAAAAAAGAATAATAATAAAATAAAATAAAATAAAAAAAAGAAATGCTCGCAAACTAATTTGACCACTGTCCATATTTCCTTGAAATGACTTGAGGAGAGATGGGATCTGAGAGCATGACGGGCCATTCCCTCTTCCCACAAGGTAGGGCCTGTCAACCAAGTTCTCGAAATCGTTTAAGACATCTCCCCTCCTCTCACTTATGCCCAACAAAAGGAGAATTAGGCCGGGAGCAGTGGCTCATGCCTGTAATCCCAGCACTTTGGGAGGCCGAGGCACGTGGATCACAATGTCAAGAGATCGAGACCATCCTGGCCAACATGGCGAAACCTCGTCTATACTAAAAATACAAAAAAAATTAGCCAGGTGTGGTGGCATGCGCCTGTAGTCCCAACTACTCGAGAGGCTAAGGCAGGAGAATCGCTTGAACCTGGGAGGCAGAGCTTGCGGTGAGCTGTGATCATGCCACTGCACTCCAGCCTGGTGACAGGGCGAGACTCCGTCTCAAAAAAAAAAGGGGGGGGGGTGAGAATCAAGAATCAGGCTACCACGGGTCTTAAATTTGGAGGAAATGTTAGAGATAGATCCTACATGAGGGATCCTGCAGCTGGAAAACCTTAAATGCAATTTGGTTCAAGTACCCATGCAAATGTGAACTTACATGGAGTCTCAGTTGTCTCTGAAAGGTAATTCACAGTGCATTTTTCTTTGGTGGGAAGTTTTTTACACCAATCATTACCATTTCTTGTTTAGATAAAGTGGATATCTGAGAAATGGTTCTAAAGGTATCAAAGGGAATAAAGTCTCTTTCCTTTTCTTAGTTCCCAGTTTTTCAAGAGGAGGCTTTCTACTAGTTAGCAGATCCCATGACTCTTTTCACAGACATTCCAGACATCTGCAATCCCACCTCTAAAATACAAAAGGACATACACACTTGACATTAGTGGCTCTCAATCCTAGGGCACACTAGAGACACCTGAGGACATTTTGAAACTAAGGCCACCCAAGTCCCTGGTATTCTTATTATTTATTTATATAATATTTTTATATAAATATATATAAATATATTATTTATTTATTTTACTTTTTTTTTTTTATAGATACCAGGTTTTACCATGTTGCCCAGGCTGGTCTCAAACTCCTGAGCTCAAGTGATCTGCCTGCCTTGGCCTCCCAAAGTGCTGGGATTATAGGTGTGAGCCACCGCGCCTGGCCCTGATATTCTGATTTACTCAACTTGAGGTAGGACATAATTTTTTAAAGCTTTCTAGATGACTCTAATGTGCATCCAGGGTTGGGAACCACTGTTCTTAAAAAATGAAAAATGGTGTGAACGCTTAAATTCAAAAAGAAAAAGGAGAGAACCATAGAGAAGGATATATTTTCAAAGAAGAAGAAGAAGGAAAAAAACCTCACAGCATGGATACTTTTATGAATAAAGTAAAGCTGACAGATGACATATGGTTTCTGATTAAATACATCTGAATTTTACTATTCATATCCCTTTTCAGGATTAATAGGATGTTAAGGTTATGATTAGATCTTCTCTTCTGCAGAATATATGGTGATAATTATCAGATTTTGCCTCAGATGGACTCATTCACCATTAGGAATTATTTACCTACTTTAAGTTGTTCATTAATAAACAGGCCAAATTATAAAAATCACCATTACCTGGCATATAATAGGTGTTCGAAGACTTGCTAAATGACTGAAGAGATCAACACTAGGTTTCCACATGAACGTCTTCTTTCAAAAACATTGACCCAAAAGGGGCAGGGAACAAGAAGAGTGTCTCACAGAATAACATCAAGAGTCACAATAATGAAAATGCCAGCAAGCACTCCTGGGGCCCTGTTCTACGGGTGTGTGTGCTCATTTCGGCCTCACAGCCCCCTCAGAAAGATGAGACTATGTTTAATCCCATTTCATAGATGAGAGAACGAAGGCACACAGAGCTTAAGCAACTTTCCCAAACTGGCAGCCACTGAAGCCCGTTTTGAACCCAACGGTCTGTACCTGAGTCTGGGCACACTCACTGACAACAGAAATTAAAACACTTTTCCTCTCCTCATTTGGATCCTGTCTTTCACAGATATCCCTTTACACATGCCAAGTTTTGTTTTTTTTTTTCTTTTTTGAGACAGGGTCTTGTTTTGTCACCCAGGCTGGAGTGCAGTGGTGTGGTCATAGCTTACTGCAGCCTGGAACTCCTGGCACATGCCAAGTTTTAAAAGCCTGTTTTGGGGACAGTGTGTGCCCTTCAAAAAATAAAGCCAAGCTGCTCTAAGCTCTTCAAATATATTATTTCCCCAACCCAGTTGTCCACCATGGACTAATGCAAGCTCAGGAAGAAACCAACAAGCAAAGTGGCTTCCTAAAGATGCAGAATGCAAAGGAAGCACCCTCAGAGAACTAGGCTAAGCCCACCCAGGGAACAAGGATAGAGGGAACAGGGATGGTCAAAGCAGAGGATGATCAGCTGGGAAAACGAGAGCAGCAGCAAGAAGGCAGCAGATGTCTGATGACGGACATTTGAAATGGAAACATGCGCCTCTCCCAAAAGGGGAACTCAAAAACGTCAGCATTTTGAATCACTTCATTCTGACATGATAAAACAAAATTAGTTACCTATCTCCAAATCTGCAAGCTCCTGTTTTACTGTAGAAGGGACAATTAGCTCGATCCTTCTCCATTACTCTGAAATCCACGGGTGGTTCTGGGTTTTGCCATGTGGTACCATTTTCCAACTGTTGAAAATAACCATGACTTTACTGGTGGAGTAAAAACCCATGAAAGACGAAATGTTTCAAAGTATATTAAAATATTTTCCTCAAAGATAAACATTGTTTCATTTAATAATGCAAACATTTAAGTTGGAACAGGCAATCAAGACTTTACAAACAACGGTACTGAGACATGAGCTCCATGTCTCTCTTGGCTCCTGGTCACTTTCCTTTATCTGGTATCACTACTGCCACCAGGGGCAGTCGCCAAGGTTTCCATCCATTCTAAAAAGGGTCCAAGAAGGCCGGGTGCAGTGGCTCACGCCTGTAATCCCAGCACTTTGGGAGGCCGAGGTGGGTGGATCACCTGAGATCAGGAGTTCAAGACCAGCCTGACCAACATGGAGAAACCCCATCTCTACTAAAAATATAAAATTAGCTGGGCGTGGTGGTGCACACCTATAATCCCAGCTACTTGGGAGGCTGGGGCAGGAGAGTTGCTTGAACCCGGGAGGCGGAGGTTGCAGTGAGCCGAGATCATACCACTGTACTCCAGCCTGGGCAACAAGAGCAAAACTCCGTCTCAAAAAAAAAAAAAAGAAAAAAAGAGAAAAAAAAGGGTCCAAGAACTTATTAGGGAACCACCACAGACAGAAATAGAAGTTACTCTGATTCAAGGTAAACCGTCCACTGGAGGCTAACGGTATGTGATGTTGCTTAAACATACTGTAAGGACTCTAAACAGGTCCAGTCCACAGGGGTCATGAATACCATTTGTATTTGTTCATCAATAAAGTTTGTTGTTGTTGTATAAATCAAAGCATCATAAACATGAGTCCAGATATCCAAACATGATCTAACTAACCTACCACGAAACTAACATTACTGGAACTATTATTTCTAAGGAAACATTAATTGGTCTCAAATTATCAATGTAAGGTTTTAAAAATACCTCATTTTCAGCCTGATCCAGCATCTTCTGCAAAGCTTCCTAAAATGGTGCAAACACAGGACTAATAAAAACCCAGAAGTCAGGTAAGTCACATCTGGTTTCTCTGGTTAAGAATCTCAAGTGGAACAATTAAAACACACACACGCACACAAGTTCTAGTTTTCTTTTGAATCACAGATCTTTTGAAAAGCTTTCAAAGGATATATAGCTGAGACTTTTCTCTTTTTTTTTTGAGACAGGGTCTCACTCTGTCACCCAGGCTGGAGTGCAGTGGCGTGACCTCAGCTCACTGCAACCTCCGCCTCCCAGGCTCAAGTGATCCTCCCACCTCAGCCTTCCGAGTAGCTAGGACTACAGGCGCACACCACCACGCCTGGATAACTTTTGTATTTTCTGTAGAGACGGAGTTTCACCATGTTGCCCAGGCTAGTCTCGAACTCCTGAGCTCAAGCAATCCACCCGCCTCAGCCTCCCAAAGTGCTGGGATTACAGGCATGAGCTACCGTGCCCGGCCCATAGCTGAGACGTTCTATTCAAATAGAAAATTTACCAGATCACATTGCAAAATATTTAAAATAGTCTTATAATAGTTTCAATAATAGTAATACTTAGTATATTTGAGTATATATACCATGTCCTAGTTCGTAAAAGGGGGTATTAGTGAATATAAAACACAATGCTAGGCCGGGCATGGTGGCTCACACCTATAATCCTAGCACTTTGGGAGGCTGAGGCGGGTGGATCACTTGAGGTCAGGAGTTCTAGACCAGCCTGGCCAAGACGGTGAAACCCCGTCACTACTAAAAATACAAAAATTAGCCAGGTGTGGTGGCACGTGCCTGTAATCCCAGCTACTTGGGAGGCTGAGACAGGAGAATCGCTTGAACCCAGGAGGCAGAGGTTGCAGTGAGCCGAGATGACGCCACTGCACTCCAGCCTAGGCGACAGAGCAAGACTCTGTCTAAAAAAAAACGAACAAACAAACAAACGAAAAAACCCAAAAAACAATGCTAGATGAAATCATAAACATTTAGCAGAAGCTAAAATATGACATGACCAGTGGTAATTAGCATTTAGGAGAAAATTCTAACTTTTTAATAAGGCAAAGGAGGTTCTGCAATATGCCAGTAAATTTCTACCTAATTGGCATTTGAACAAGTTGTACCTATGTTTAACAGACAGTCTTATCTTCCCTAGCCCCTTAAAGCATTACATAAGACTCGTATGTCTAGTTGCTTATTTGTGGTGCTCAAAACAGAACTCTTGTCCTCTACACTCCCTGGCCCACATCCACCTGAATGCTCCCTCAGTGAATAGTGTTGCCAGTCTATCTGTCTATTCAAACTAAAAACCTAAAAATATGACTTGAATTCCTCTCTCTCTCCTTGTCCTCTGGTCAACATGGTGAAACCCTGTCTGTACTAAAAACACAAAAAATTAGCCGGGTGTGGTGATGGGCGCCTGTAGTCCCAGCTACTCAGGAGGCTGAGGCAGAAGAATCGCTTGAACCCGGGAGGCAGAGGTTTCAGTAAAGTAAAAATGATCTGTTAAAAAAGTCTGGTGCAGTGGTTCACACGAGCACTTTGGGAGGCCGAGGCGGGTGGATCCCTGGAGGTCAGGAGCTCGAGACCAGCCTGGCCAACATGGTGAAACCCTGTCTCTACTAAAAATACAAAAATTAGCTGGGCGTGGTAGCAGGCACCTGTAATCCCAGCTACTCGGGGGGCTGAGGCATATGAATTGCTTGAACCCAGGAGGCAGAGGTTGCAGTAAGCAGAGATCACGCCACTGCACTCCAGCCTGGGCGACAGCATGAGACTCCATCTCAAAAAAATTTTTTTTTTAAATGAATGATCTGTTAAAAGGTACAGATATAAATGAGACAGAGTCATTCCCTGCTTAAACCCCTTCAATGGCTTCCCATTATAGGAAACATAAAATCCAAACTCCTCCTTCAAATCCAGGAAGCCCTACATGATCTGACTCTGCTTACCCTCCACTGCCCCTTCTCCCTCAGCAACCTCCTCCACTGCCCCCTCTCCCTCAGCAACCTCCTCCACTGCCCCCTCTCCCTCAGCAACCTCCTCCACTGCCCCCTCTCCCTCAGCAACCTCCTCCACTGCCCTTCTCTCCTTTGGACTCTAGATTTCAGGTTCCCTGGCCTTTTTTCAGCCTTCAAGCTTCAGGCTTCTTCTTGCTGAGATCTCTCCACTCAGGTGTCAGCTCAAACATCACCTCCTCAGAAATTTCCTTGAGCAGGCAATCTATAGAAGCACAACTCTATTCTCATTACTCTATCACATCACTCTGCTTTATTTCTTTCTTTTTTTTTTTTTTTTTTTGAGACGAAGTCTAGTTCTATTGCCCAGGTTGGAGTGCAGTGGCTCAAGCTTGGCTCACTGAAACCTCTGCCTCCCGGTTCAAGTGATTCTTCTGCCTCAGACTCCTGAGTAGCTGGGACTACAGGCGCCCATCACCACGCCTGGCTAATTTTTTGTATTTTTAGTACAGACGGGGTTTCACCATGTTGACCAGGCTGGCCTCGAACTCCTGACCTCGTGATCCTCTCGCCTCAGCCTCCCAAAGTGCTGGGATTACAGGCGTGAGCCACCACGCCTGGCCTGCTTTATTTCTTTATAGCACTTAATATGATCACATTTTGAATGATCTGTTTTGCTTATCATCTCACACTCCCATATAAAAAACTAGCTCAATGAGAGCAAAGACTGTGTCTTTCACTGCTCTGTCTCTGTCCGCTAGCGAAGTGTCTAGCATACAGCAGGAACACATACTGCTGATTCTTTTTTATAAGCTTAGAATCTATTTCATTTCCCTCATTTCTCCTTGAAGTCTCACAGATTTCCTCTGAAACAAAAGCATTCAAAAGAGGCCTTAGCTGTTACTGAATTCCTGAAAGACCTCAGTTGAGGAACACTCTACTGTTAAAATGGGAATTAATTCCTCTCTATAAAAAAATGACAAGTTCCAAACAATTTTTCTGCCCCCTAAAAACCTAGCATGAACTTGCCTCATCTGGAAAGAAGTGCTCAAATAAAGGTGTTTAAAATCTGCACTGAAATTAACTGATGGCCTAAGATACAAAAAACAAAGATCGTGGAGGCTGCTTCTGCCCCATATTGACTACAATGAAGACACATGCATTTTTCCCAATTATAAGGTGATTATCCAATTTTATGCTATTTAAATTTAGCTGTATTACAAAAAAGACAAATCCTGATGAATCAGTCAAGGGAAGATGAGCTGTGATACCTCTGAAATAAATATACTGTCAAGGAATAGCAGCAAAACATACCAAATCAATCCTTAAAAAAGAATCCTGGAAGATAGAGAAGATACATACACACATATGCCTCACAGATTTTTTTTTTTTTTTAAATAAGCAACTGTGTGTTAGCTACAATTATCTTCATAGCCTAAGTGGAAGAGGAAGTCAAGATTTAATACAAATAACAAAAACTGTTTCCTAGTTCCTCAATATTTGAGTTCCTGATTTCTTTAAATCCTCTAATTCTTGCTGACATGTCATAAGCAGTTCTCTTATGACCTAAATAAATGTGGAAACAAAACAAAGTATTATTCTCTAAAGAAGTCAACTCATATACAGCAGAACCTCAGAAGAACATAACTTGCTATAAAGCAAGGGCTAGCTGCCTGTTTTGTAAATAAAGCTTTCCTGGAACACAGCCATACCCATTCATCTACATATTATCGATGGCTGCTTTCAGGGTACACTGGCAGAGTTGGATGTTTGCCACAGAGACCAAACCATAAAGCCTAAAATATTTACCATCTGGCCCTTTACAACATTTGCCAATGCCCAGTATAAAGGGTAAATAGGGTAAAGCTGAAGAAAACTTTAAGGAATCTGCCACTGCACGGACCCGAAGAAGAGCATCAGAAGGGAACTCTGGTGTTATGTCTAAACTGAAATATGATTCTTTCCAAACAAACAATGAAATGACAAGAAAAAGAGAAAAAAAAAACCCAAACTCTGACATGCCTACTGATTATTCTTCAAACTCATCACACAGCACATCCCATGACAGGAATCACCTCTTTTTCTTTCTTCTCCTGTCGTTTCTGCTCCTCCTCTTCTCTCTCTTTCCTCTGCTGTTCTTCCCATTGTTCCTTTAACTTTCTCTTTAAAGGGGAAGAAAAAGTAACTTTGTTTCAGTCACTTTTTAAAAACATTTCACATACAGCGCACATAGATGAAAAACTTAAAACACTGGCAAACTGAATAAGATCAGTTTTTTGTTTTTTTTTTTTAAGTTCAAGATAGGCAACTCTTTTTTTTTTTTCTTTTTGAGATGGAGTTCCGCTCTTGCTGCCCAGGCTGGAGTGCAATGGCGTGATCTCAGCTCACTCCAACCTCCCAAGATAGGCAACTCTTCATGAGAGTTATTATGGTGAAGTAATCAGTTTGTTCACTAGTTACGTGATTCCTACCATACCTCTTGTTCTTCTTGCCGTTTTTTAGCCGCCTCTTCCTTTTCCTTCTTTATTCTGAATTCTTCTTGTGCCTTCTGCTCTCTTAGCAACCACTCCTCATGTAATCTTTGCCTATCAGTATAATGATGTAATCAGATAAAAGAAATGGGCATTAATCCACAAATACACACACACACGAGAGCAAAATGACACATTTTGGGACTGATTCAAATATCACGAAAGCTATTTTCTATTAAAGCAGTCAAGTGGGTGTAAGAGAACGAGAAGAGCAGAGCTTTTGGAAAAGCACCACGTGTCAGCAACTATCTTCCTAATGGGTAATAACTTAAAATCTCTCTTACATTTCATAGGTATATATGGCTGTGACATACTTTACAGAAAAAAGGACACTATGACTTTCCCTCTAGACTGATCACAGTGATGTTTAGGTGACAATAAAATGGGTAGCAAGTTTCAAAGCAGCATCTACCTTTTCATATTCAGAAAGCATTTCCCTTCCTATTCTATGCATTTATTTTTATTTATTTATTTATTTTGAGACAGAGTATTACTCTGTTGCCCAGGCTGGAGTGCAGTGGCATGATCTTGGCTCACTGCAACCTCTGCCTCCCGGGTTCAAGTGATTCTCCTGCCTCAGCCTCCCGAGTAGCTGGGATTACAGGTGCCCACCACCACGCAAGGCTAATTTTTGTATTTTTAGTACAGACAGCGTTTCATCATGTTGGCCAGGCTGGTCTCGAACTCCTGACCTCAAGTGATCCACCTGCCTCGGCCTCCCAAAGTGCTGGGATTACATGTGTGAGCCACTGCACCCAGCCCCTATTCTTAAAAGTAGCAATTCCATGATGGCAGCACGCTGAAAACCCAGTATCCTTTGCCATAAACCTTTGGACTACTACTACACACAGTTAAGAGACTCCTGTGGTTTGCCTCCAAACACCTAAACAGCCAAAAGAAGGAAAATAAAAGTACATTGTAATCATGTTTTTAAAATAAAGCTACAGGTTTTAAGAAATGGAGTTATAAAAATAAATTAGTGAGGGCCGGGCGCAATGGCTCGCACCTGTAATCCAGCACTTTGGGAGGCTGAGGCGGGCGGATCACCTGAGGTCAGGAATTTGAGACCAGGCTGGCCAACATGGTGAACCCCATCTCTACTAAAAATACAAAAATTAGCCAGGCGTGGTGGCAGCCGCCTATAATCCCAGCTACTTGGGAGGCTGAGGCAGGAGAATCGCTTGAATCTGGGAGGCGGAGTTTGCAATGAGCCGAGATCATGCCACTGCACTCCAGCCTGGGTGACAGAGCGAGACTTCGTCTCAAAAAATGAAAAAATAAAAATAAATTAGTGAGTGTCTAGTCTATTTTTTATATGACCAATTATAATGAGTGGTATTACCTTAAAGTGGCAAGTGTCTCAGACATCCAATATCACAAATTTCTAATATAAAGAGGGGGTTAGATTGCCAAAGTCTACCTGCCAATTAGGTGTGTAGAACCTCAAATTCATTCTTCCACTGAATTTATAAAAGGGAAATTAAATATGAGAAACTGTTCTATATTACTTCAGCAGTATTAGGAGTTCAGTAAAGTTTTATGTCTAGTCTGGGGACCTAACCACAATTTTAAATAAAATATATTACATTTCCAAATACAGATTCCAGGAACACATCTTTTAGCCATGGCAGAGGCTGGCACATTGCATCTATCAGTGTTCCTATGCCATGTGTGAGGGTACCATATAGATGTTTCAGTGGGCACAACTCTGATTTACAAATCTTTTGAAAAACATATAATTGTATATAAATGAACCAAATGATATATAAATTAAGACCACAAGAAAGTAAAATGTTAAAAATTTTAAAATTTAATAACTTGAATATACATCTGCTTTGAAATAGGACATAAAGTCATACAGTATTTTTACATAATTTTCTTGCTTTTCAATAATAGTATGCAACTCATAAAGAAATAAAGATCTAAGGAGCACAAAGATACATGTATGTGATTTAAAAGAAGCATTTCAAATAAACAGGAAAAAAATTACTCTCTTATTTCATACCGTATCTATTGTCTTCATCATAACAGAAATCTATAATAATAAGAACTAGAGCTATCACAGCACCTCTCATCTGCTGACACTGTGTTAAACACTATACATCCATCACCTCCTTTAATCTTCACAATTCTGTGAGGTGGATACTGTGATTGACTTTATCTCCATATTACAGACAAGGAAATAGAAGCTTAGAGACATTAAGAAATTTCGGCTGAGCGCGGTGGCTCACACCTGTAATCTCAGCACTTTGTGAGGCCGAGGCGGGCAGATCATGAGGTCAAGAGATCGAGACCATCCTGGCCAACATGGTGAAACCCCATCTCTACTAAAAGTACAAAAAAAAATTAACTGGGTGTGGCGGTGCGTGCCTGTAATCCCGGCTACTCGGGAGGCTGAGGCAGGAGAATCGTGTGAACCTGGGAGGTGGAGGTTGCGGTGAGCGGAGATCACACCACTGCACTCCAGCCTGGTGACAGAACGAGAGTCCGTCTCAAACAAAACAAAACAAAAACAAATTTTAAAAAAACATGTATCCCAAAAGAGAAAGGTGTGAGACTTGAGCAATCTACAAATAGGTAATAAAACATATAAAAAGATACTCTACCTAATTCAGAAATGTGCATTTGAAACAGTTTCATTATAGTTTTATAAACTGATAATGCCTAGTATGAGTGAAGGTATGGGGAGATGGGCCCCTACATTCACTGCCAGAAGGGCTGCAAACTGCAAACCAGGAAGCCCTTTCTACCTGGCCATCTACATTTTACATGGACTTATGATTTGATTCCAACAATCTCATTTTTAGTCATGTTCTTAAGGAAATAACTGGACAATTACCAAGGATATATAAGCATGGATGCTTACTGCAACTTTTTACATATGAGTGAAAAACCAATATAACCTGAAAGTCCATCAGTAGAGAACTATAAATTATAAATGAATAAACTATGAATAGCAAATAAATTATGCTACATCTGTACAGTGGGTACTGTATTGCCACTGAAATGGCTGAATTAGATCCCTGCATCAGTACTGAAATAAATGCACTATATATTTAGCAAGAAAGCAATTTATAGAAAAATATGTATAAATATCATGCCATTATAGAAAGACACACGTAAAGTACATTTACACTTTCTTTTTCTCTTTCTTAACAGTGGCTATCTTTGGGTGTGTTGCAATTATTAAAGTCTTTTCCCTTTTTACATTTGTTAATTTTTTTTGTTTTTTTTCTGTTTTCAAAAACAATTACAGGTCAGGCGCAGTGGCTCATGCCTATAATCCCAGCACTTTGGGAGGCTGAGGCAGGCGGATCACTTGATCACAAGAGATCAAGACCACCCTGGCCGACATGGTGAAACCCTGTCTCTACTAAAAATACAAAAATTAGCTGGGTGTGGTGGTGCACACCTGTTGTCCCAGCTACTCGGAAGGCTGAGGCAGGAGAATCGCTTGAACCCGGGAGGCGGAGATTGCAGTGAGCTGAGATCATGCCACTGCACTCCAGCCTGGCAACAGAGCGAGACTCCGTCTAAAAAAAAAAAAAAAAAAAAGAAAGAAAAAAAATTATAAATTAGCAAAAACAGAAGAAAAGTACTTCCATTTTTAAAAAAAATAACATCTAGTTTTAGCCCATCAACTACAGATTTAAATACTTTATACAGGATATTTTATAAGACCTATTTGGTACAAGATTTTATACAGAAGACTGGTACTGGTTAGTAAAGGTTGATAATATTCCAATAAAATAACTTCATTCACTTTAAGTGTTTCAATTAGCACTGACCTCTCTCTTTCCAATAGCTTCTCTTCTTCTAGTTGTTGTTCTTCAATAAAAGTGTCCTCCTCTTCCTCCTTCTGTGAGAGTCCTAGGGAATTTAAATGTTTTATTAAACTGAGTGCTGCAAATCCTTGGTCAAAAATTCAGGAAAAAAATACATGTAATCTTTAATGTATAAAATTATGGTAAAAATCTTTTTCTTAAACTTTCTAACAAAAAGGTCTCTGATCAACCTTCTTTGGTACAACACAAGCATCAAAAAGGACAATAGGGGTGGCAGATAGCACATTACATTTAAAAATTAATCAATGGTTCCACAATTATACTTAAAAAGGAAATTAGCTTGGCATGGTGGCAGGCACCTGTAATCCCAGCTACTCGGGAAGCTGAGGCAGGAGAATCACTTGAACCCAGGAGGTGGAGGTTTCAGTGAGCCAAGATCGTGCCATTGCACTACAGCCTGGGCGACAAGAGTGAAACTCCATCTCAAAAAAAAAAAAAAAAAAGGTGGTGGGGGTGTGGAAGGGAACATCCATCTTCACAGAAGAATGGTAACTAAAAAATGGAGAAAAACTTAAGTAGAAAAATCATCACTTTTGCAACCCCCACTGTAAAAATTTAGACAAAGACATTAAAAACATCGAATGAAAGCTTGCTAGGAAGAGTATATTCACACTATCTCAACATATCACCCCAGACATGAGGACTAATTAGAAAAGAAAAAATGCAATGCTTTCCAATGGAGCGATCTGGACACTTTTTTTTTTTTTTTTTGAGACGGGAGTCTTGCTCTGTCGCCAGGCTGGAGTGCAATGGCGCGATCTTGGCTCACTGCAACCTCCGCCTCCTGGGTTCAAGCGATTCTCCTGCCTCAGCTTCCCAAGTAGCTGGGACTACAGGCGCGCGCCACCATGCCCAGCTAATTTTTGTATTTTTAGTGGAGACGGGGTTTCACCACATTGGCCAGGATGGTCTCAATCTCCTGACCTCGTGATCCGCCTGCCTCGGCCTCCCAAAGTGCTGGGATTACAGGCATGAGCCAGCATGTCCGGCCCTGGGTGGGTAACACCTTAACCACAGTTAGCATCACCGGGAGTGCAACAACCTGATGTGAAAGGTCTCATGATGTATGCAATAAGAAGTTTACAACATCTGCTCTGTAATCCTTTGTTCTAAAGAGTGTTGTTACCTGAAGTTAATCATGAGAAGACAGAACAATCCAGAATACAGGGCATTCCACAAGATAACTGGCTTGAGTTTTTCAAAACAATCAATCCTGGTTTGGGGAAGTTTAAATATGGCCTGTATATGATACCATTGAATTACTTGCTCATGTACTCAGGTGCAAGTTTGGTATTGTGGTTCTGCGGGAGAATGTCCTTATTCTTAGGAGTTGCAAGCTGAAGAATTTAGGGGTGAGGTGCTGCTATCTGCAACTGCCATCCAAAAGGTTCAGAAAAAATGTTCTATGTATGTATCTCTTTAAATAGAGAAAAAGAAAGAAAGGCCAAACTTTAACAACTGGCAAATCTTGCTGAAGGGTTCATGGATATTTATTGTGCTCTTTTTTTCAACTTTCTGTAGATTAGAACATTTCCCAAATAAAAACATGAAAAAACAACTTTTAATAGAATAGACATTTACATCCTCTCCCATTCAAAATTTGGGAAAAAAATCAGTGAAAGTGGAAGAGAAATGGAAGACTGAAATAATCTTAAAGAAATGTTACAGATGTCAGGCTTAAAGAAAAAAGAGTCTGTTTGTCACATGTGTTGAGTACAGTTCTAACTGAAGGCTCATCCAGTCTTAGATAATTACAATAATTTACTTTTCTTAAGTAAGTAAACTTTATTATTTCAGCAGCTGGAATTAAAATGGGCAACAAATGTAGAATAAGTTCTCAATCATATAAAATAGTATCTAATTGTTCAGATAATTAAATGATCTAATGTACTTAAAGCGCCAGAGAACCTGGCACAGAGGATATGGCCTGACTACTTGCAGAGGTATGCCATAGATTAGACAGGGCATAGACACAGCTGACACTCACAAACACCTGTTGACTGACTCACTCAACTCCCCATCACCTCGAAACCAAGCTCATATACTCCACAGAAGTGATTGCTAACAGTTCTGGGTACAGCATTTTCCCCACGTGTACAATCGGACATATGCAATACATATACATACAATACAGCTGACCCTTGAACAACACAGGTTTGAACCACCTTGGTCTATTTAAATACAGATTTTTTTTCAGTAAACACACTGGAACATTTAGGGGATATTTGCAACAATTTGAAAAAAAAAATAGGTAAGTGGCATGGCCTAGAAACACTGAAAAAAATTAAGAAAAAGGTATGTCATGAATGCATAAAATATATGTACATACTAGTCTATTTTATCATTTGCTACCATAAATATAAATCTATTATAAAACGTTAATGCAGAGCTGGGCGTGGTGGCTCATGCCTGGAATCCCAGCACTTTGGGAGGCCAAGGCGGGCGGATCACCTGAGGTCAGGAGTTCGAGACCAGCCTGGCCAACATGGTGAACCCCATCTCTACTAAAAATACAAAAATTAGCCGGGCGTGGTGGCAGCCCCCCGTAATCCCAGCTACTCGGGAGGCTGAGGGAGGAGAATTGCTTGAACCCGGGAGGTGGAGGTTGCAGTGAGTCAAGATCGCGCCACTGCACTCCAGCCTGGGAAACAAGAGCAAAACACCGTCTCAAAAAAAAAAAAAAAAAAAGTTAATGCAGATACTGTTAAGCAATATTGTGCTGGCTTGAGCAGCACATATACAGATACTGTTACAATATAAGTTAAGTGTTTTATTGTTTCCTTGCTTAAAGCATTTGAAACAGGCCAGGGAGCGGTGGCTCATGCCTGTAATCCTAGCACTTTCGGAGGCCGAGGTGGACGGATTACTTGAGGTCAGGAGATCGAGACCAGCCTGGCCAACATGGCGAAACCCCATCTCTACTAAAAATAAAAAAATTAGCCAGGTGTGGTGGTGCACGCCTGTAATCCCAGCTACTCAGGAAGCTGAGGCAGGAGAATTGCTTGAAACTGGGAAGCAGAGGTTGCAGTGAGCCGAAATTGCACCACTGCACCCTAGCCTGGGCGACAGAGCGAGACTCTGTCTCAAAAAAAAAAAAAAAAAAAAAAAAAAACGATTTGAAACAAAATGATCTCTGACTTCATTCCATTCTAAGACAGAGAAGTTCGGTCTCAAACATTTTTCCTTGAATATTACTATAAAAGTTGTGCTACAACATAATCATTGACAACTTTTTTTAAAGTTAAAATTTATCAAAACTTATATTTATAGACCATATATGGCACATTCACAGTTGAGAAAAATGTAAACAAACATAAATATGCAGTATTAAATCATAACTGCATGAAATTAACTGTAGTACAAAACAAGGAAAAAAACGCATCCAATGAGGTACAGAAGGAAGAAAAAAATTAACTGTAGTACACACTGCACTACTGCAATAATTTCATAGCCACCTCCTGCTGCTATTGCAGTGAGCTCAAATACTATGAGTATTCACTTAAAACACCTTGTGACACTACTCATCTCTGCATGAGCAGTTCATCTCTTCAGTAAATTGTGTATGGCAGTAAGAAGTGATCTCTGGCGTATTTTTCACTGTGTTTACTACAAAATGGTAAACCTTGAATAACATCATGAGACTCACACAAAGTGCGACTAGCGATGCTGGAAGTGCTCTCAAGAAGCAGAGAAAAGTCATGATGGCCGGGCGCGGTGGTGCGTGTCTGTAATCCCAACTACTCTGGAGGCTGAGGCAGGAGAATTGCTTCAACCCGGGAGGCGGAGGTTGCAGTGAGCCGAGTTCATGCCACTGCACTCCAGCCTGGGCGACAGAGCAAGACTCCATCTCAAAAAAAAAAACAAAAAACAAAAAAGAAAATCACTGAGGAGAAAGGATATCTGCGTGAATAGGACGCCCAGCTACTTTTTGTATTTTTAGCAGAGACAGGGTTTCACCATGTTGGCCAGGCTGCCCTCGAAGTCCCGACCTCGTGATCCACCCGCCTTGGCCTCCCAAAGTGCTAGGACTCCAGGCGTGAGCCACTGCGCCTGGCCTGAACAGGTTTTTAATGCAGATGAAAGTATCCTATTCTAGAAAAACACCACAAAGGACATTTAGTAGGAAGAGAAGCAAGCAGCAGGATTGAAAACAAAAAGAGACAGGCTAACTCTACTGTTTCATGAAAACGTAGTGGGGTTTATGATCAGAACTGCCCTTATCTATAAAGCTGCTAACCCCCACCCCCAATCCTTGAAGGGAAAAGATCAGCACCAGCTGCCTGTCTTTTGGTTGTACAACTAGAAGGCCTGGACAATGGAAATCCTTTTTTCTGAATTGGTTCCACTGATGCTTTGTCCCTGAAGTCAGGAAGTACCTTGCCAATAAGGAACTGGATTTTAAAATTATTTTAATATTGGACAATGCCCCTGGCCACCCAGAACCCCATGAGTTCAACACTGAAGGTGTCAAAGTGGTCTACTTGCCCCCAAACACAATGTTTCTAATTCAGCCTCTAGACCAGGGGGTCGTAAGAACCTCTAAAGCTCATTACACGTGGTACTCTACGGAAAGGATTGTCAATGCTATGGGAGAGAACCCTAATACAGAGAGTATCAAGAAAGTGTGTAAAGATTATACCATTGAAGATGCTATTGTTGTTATAGAAAAAGCCATGAAAATCATCAAGCCCAAAACAAAGTCCTGCTGGAGAAAAAAATGTGTCCAGATATTGTGCATGGCATCATTGGACTTAAGACAGAGCCAATCAAGGAAATCGTGAAAGAGATTGTAAATATGGGGGGGGGGGAAAAGTGCAGGGGGGTCGGGGTGAAGGGTCTCAAGATATCTTGAAGAAATTCAAGAGCTAACAGACACACCAGAGTAGTTAACAAAAGCCAATTTGATGGGGATGAGTCCTTCCAAACCAGTGCAAGGTGATGAGGAAGAAAACTGAGGTGAAGCAGTGCCAGAAAACAAATTGACACTAGACAATCTGGCAGAAGGGCCAATTATTCAAGACTGCTTTTGACTTCTTTTATGGACCCTTCTATACTGAAAACTAATGCATTTAAACTAAAGCAAGTGGTGGAAGAATTGGTACTGTATAGAAACATTTTTAGAGAAATGAAAAAGCAAAAATGTCAGACAGAAATTATAATGTATTTCTGCAAAGTTACACCAAGTGCCGTCTACCCTCTTGCCTTCCCTTCTACCTCCTCCACCTCTTCCACCTCTGCCACCCAAGAGAGCAAGACCAAATCATCCTCTTCCTCCTCGGCCTACTCAACATTAAGACAAGGAGAATGAAGACCTTTATGATGAACCACTTCCATTTAATGAAGGGCAAATATATTTTCTCCTCCTCGGGATTTTCTTAGTAACATTCTTTTCTCTAGCTTACTTTATTATAAGAATATGGTATATAATACATATAACATACAAAGTATGTGTTAATCAACTGTTTATGTTATTGGTAAGGCTTAGAGTCAACAGCAGGCACTTAATAGTAAGTTTTGGGGGAGTGAAAAGTTATATGCAAATTTTCCACTGTGGGGAGGGGCGGGGGGCGGTCAGAGTCCCCTAACTCCCACATTGTTCAAGGATCAAATGTATATCCAATGGTATTATACAGGTTGAGCACCCCAAATCCAAAAATGAGAAATATTTTGAGTGACAACAATGCTCAAAGGAAATGCTCATTGGAGCATTTCGAATTTTGGATCTTTGGATTTGGGATGCTGAACTGGTAAATACAACGCAAGCATTTCAGATAAGGGATACTCAACCTGTACATGTAACTGTACACACAGAATCATGCTATAGTTTTGCAACTTGCTTTTAATATCTTAATTTCTGACGAGGTAGCTTGTTTCCAGTTATCTGAAGTAGAATGGATGCCAAAGAAGCTATCTGTAATTAAGAGCTCACTATTCCAGAAATCATTTGCCAAGGCACTCCAATCATTTGCCAAGGCACTCTCATAGTTACACTCAACATTCTAGCCTTCTGGGTAATGTTTACCCATCTAACGTGTGCTACAATAAACAGCAGTGTTCCTGGCCGGGCGCAGTGGCTCACGCCTGTAATCCCAGCACTTTGGGAGGCCAAGGTGGGCAGATCACCTGAGATCAGGAGTTTGAGACCAGCCTGGCCAACATGGTGAAACCCCATCTCTACAAAAGTACAAGAATTAGCCGGGCATGATAGTGGGTACCTGTAATCCCAGCTACTCAGGAGGCTGAGGCAGAAGAATCACTTGAACCTGGGAGGCAGAGGTTACAGTGAGCCTAGATCGTGCCATTGCACTCCAGCCTGGGCGAGAGAGTGAGACTCTGTCTCAAAAAAAAAAACCAGGAGTGTTCCATAGTCTACAGTATTCATGAAGTACCACTAGGCAAAGAATTGTGAGTTGGAGTGGGCAAAAGTAGGAGCAGAAGTGCAGAGACAGGTGCTTAGTCTTGGATATGCCATTAGTTACATAATCTTGACAGACCAGTGACCTGGATTTAGTCCATTAAAATGGGCTAAACTACCATGGGACATGACTCGCCTGACTCTCCACAGAGGCTCATTCTGAACACATTTTGCTAAGTAAAAAGGAAAAAAAAAATCAAAACAATACAAATACCAGCTGTTATAGGATTTAGTGCAGGAAAAGAAAAAGAGAAAGAAGTTAAAACAAATTTAGAATATATAATATTTAGAATAAAACAGATTAAATGAACAAAGTAAAGTAGCTGAAAATTTCAAGGGGGGAGAGACGAAGTACAATAAGGGCCTCAATAACTCCAACCTATTCTACTTTTCCTTTTATCCCTGATGCTTTGTTCTGCCTCTAGTGGATGAGTTTTCAACTAATAAGACAGAAATGCTAACACAGGTTGCAGTTAAACACACTGCTCCTTCCATTCTAAATATCCCAGTACTGACACTAAAATAATTACTCAGGAACACCAATGGTAAATAAAACCTCTATGGCTATGTTTCTCAAGGTCCAAGAATCCTAGTTACTTGAGGCCATGGTCTCTGGATTTTAAGAATTGTCTAGGATAATTTCATGAGCATATTCTGGATAATGCGGATGACAATCATTATAAGCCAGTACTACTGTGTGATTTCAGTGCTCCCATCTGGATTTATAACTACTACATAATTTTATAACTAAGTCCTAATTTTATTGCATTAAGCAGGTAGATTTAATACATAAATGTTAGGTTTTGCCATGTGAAGGTCAAATGACCATCTGTACAAATAAAGGTTCTACAGTAATTTCATAGAAAAAGTGGTAAATAACTATAAGGCAACATTAGTAGAGGCATTCCAAACTCCCATCAGTGCCATATACATATTGTGAGGAGCATTAGTTTCACATCATCCCTAGCATTACCTGATGTAGATTTAAATTTTACCGAATGTGTAATTTCATTTAGTTTTATAATTTATAAATGTATTTTTATTTGTTTGTTTGTTTTTTGAGACAGAATCTCACTCTGTTGCCCAAACTGAAGTGCAGTGGCAGGATCTCGGCTCACTGCAACCTCTGCCTCCCAGGTTCAACTGATCCTCTTGCCTCAGCCTCCTGAGTAGCTGGGATTACAGGCACCTGCCACCAAGCCCAGCTAATCTTGTATTTTTAGTAGAGGCAGGGTTTCATCATGTTGGCCAGGCAGGTCTCGAACCCCTGACCTCAGGTGATCCATCTGCCTCGGCTTTCCAAAGTGCTGGGATTTCAGGCATGAGCCACCACGCGCCCAGCCCATATATTGTTTTATAGTCAAACAATGGCTTCAGGTCAGGTGTGGTGGCTCATGCCTATAATCCCAGCACTTTGGGAGGCCGAGGTGGAAGGATTGCTTGAGGCCAGGAGTTCGAGACCAGCCCAGGCAACACAGTGAAATCCCGTCTCTACGAAAATTTTAAAAATTAGCCAGGTGGGCCAGGGGCGGTAGCTCACGCCTTTAATCCCAGCACTTTGGGAGGCTGAGGTGGGTGGATCACCTGAGGTCAGAAGTTCGAAACCAGCCTGGCCAACATGATGGGGTTTCACCCCATCTCTACTAAAAATACAAAAATTAGCCGGGTGTGGTTGCGCACGCCTGTAATCCCAGCTACTCGGGAGGCTGCAGCAGGAGAACTGCTTGAACCCAGGGGGCGGAGGCTGCAGTGAGCCAAGATCGTGCCACTGCACTCCAGCCTGGGCAACAGAGCGAGACTCCGTCTCAAAAAAAAAAAAAAAAAAAAAGAAAAGAAAAGAAAAAATTAGCCAGGTGTGGTGGTGAATGCCTGTAGTCCCAGCTACTAGGGAGGCTGAGGTGGGAGGACTGCTTGAGCCTGGGAGGTGGAGGCTGCTGTGAGCCGTGGTTGTGCACATCCCTCCTGGGCAACAGAACAAGACCCTGTCTCAAAAATAAATAAATGAGCTTCATAACTAGTATTATGTTGATATATATTTGAATAACATAATAATTTGGGTAAACCAAGGGTCTCATATTAGTCAAGTTTGAGAAAAACTTGCAAAACGTCTAATTAATACCTTCAACTCCTGCTGGTTTTACGAAGAAAAACATTCACCGAATACTTACTACGTGTGCAAGGACTGTGCTAGCTGCTGTAATTCATGAAGCTTGCAACTGTAATATTAGATACTTTATAAGTTACACAGAATCAGTGGGCGATCATTCACCAAGACTTCCTCTTCCTGCCTTTAGTATGTTAACATTGTTTCTGACATGTGTTTCTAAATAACTACTTGGGGGCAGAAGTCACAGCTATTTTTCCTCCGACACAATATTTGACTTCCTTCTGACACTGGGGCTTCAAGTTAGGGCTGGAGTGGACAGAGCAATTTCACAACACAGAAAACAGAATAAAGAGTCCATCACCTGAGTCTCTCAGTCGAGCAAGTTCCTGCCGACGTTTCTTTCGTTTCTCCTTCTTCAGGGCGGCCCTGTACTTTTTGTGGCTGGAAGATTAAGACATATACACGACGATCAGCGGCTACAATGCAGCGCTGCCCGAGCTCCCCGCTCCTCTGTGCCCAATGAAAGGAAATAGTTCGGGTGCTGAGGAGAGAAACCTTGCTTCCTGTATTTTAATTACAGAACAGCCATCTATCATCGCCTCATCCTCCCACTCCCAGACAGTTCTTCTCCATCCGCCAACCTGATCCTCTCCTCGCTTGCCTGAGCCACAGCCGCCCGTGCAAGTCCGGGGAGGGCACCAGAGCGCGCACCAGGAAGGAATGGAGCTGCCGCGGTGGCTCACTTAGCTTGGCCCAGCTTCTCTTTTCTTCCTGCCACCACATCCTCCATGCCCACGATCGGCCCGCTCGCCTGCTCATCTCCCCGTACGGCGCTTACCTTGGTTTCTCGGGAAACGTCATCTTCTCGGGCGCAGCCATCTTGCCGGCACCGCCCCGCCCCTCCAGGTCTGGCAGGAAAGGGCGGGCCTAAGAGTCGAGACGGGCACGCGCAGGCGCGGGTACCGAGCAACCTCCACCAGCGTGGGACTTGAAACGGAAAGCCGGAGGTACCCTTCGGCGGCTCGTCTTCCAGAACCCTGCTCAAATAAATACCTCCTTCCAGCAAAAATACTCTGGGGCTTTTACCCCGCCCTAGAAGTAATTGTCGCTTCAGCACTTGCCCAGTGCTGTATCACTGTCTCCCTCCTCGCCCTAGCAGGACGTGTTGTGGCTAGGCGGTTAAAGTCGTACTCTGCCGCTTTTCTCAGCATCCACTCATGAAGTCACATCGCGCACAGAGCTGCTCGCCCGGCTTTATTTCCGACCTGTCCAGGTTCCGCGTCCTTCCGCCGATCCACCTATCAGCGCCTCAGACAAAGCTCCAGACTTCGCTCCCTGCCAGTCACACCTGTTCTGGTCCCTTAAGCAAACCTAACTCCCAGGGCTGCAAAGCTGTTACCTCTGCCCCTGAGGAGTTTACAATCGAGGGGGCAGAGAAGAACCAATACATAATATGATGCAGGCAAAGATGAAGTTTACCTAACATAGTCCACCAAGGGATTCAGGGAGAGCTCTCTTTTTTTTCCTTTTTTCTTTTTTTTTCAGTATCACATGCGACTCAACTGCAGTATCAGGGACAGCTTTCTGATGCTAAGAGTTGAGTTTGGAAAGAAGATGCCCTTTACCCAGAAGGAGAAGGGTGGGAATGCAGTTACAGTCAGATCAGCATAAGCAAAGGCGCTGAAAGGTGAAAGTGGAATATGCTGGGAACAGCAAGAATTTTGGCAATCGAATTTATTTATTTATTCATTTCTTATATATTAGAGACAGGGTCTTGTCTTTCACCCAGGTTGGAGTGCAGTGGCGCAATCACGACTCGCTGCAGCTTCGACCTCCTGGGGTCAAGCAATCCTTCCACCTCAGCCTCCCGAGTAGCTGGGAATACAGGCGCGAGCCACCACGCCCGCCCAGCTATCCAATTTAAAGTGCAGTTCGAGGCTGGGTGCAGCGGCTCACGCCTGTAATCCCAGCACTTTGGGAGGCCTAGGCGGGTGGATCACCTGAGGTCAGGAGTTCGTCAGCCTGGCCAACATGGTGAAACCCCGTCTCTACTAAAAATACAAAATTAGCCGGGTGTGGTGGCACATGCCTGTAGTCCCAGCTACTCTGGAGGCTGAAACAGGAGAACTGCTTGAACCCAGGAGGTGGCGGCCGCAGTGAGCCGAGATGGCACCACTGCCCTCCAGCCTGGGCAACAGAGCAAGGCTCCGTCTCAAAAAAACAAAACAAAATAAAGTGCAATTCGAGAATATCAAGGAATATAGTTGTTGTGATGGGCTGGGAGGGCTAGGTTAAGGAGGGCCTGGTGTGCCATGTTAAGACGCTCTGTTTACATTCTGTAGAGACAACAGTGAACCGTTGAAAGCTTTTTAAATAGAGGCTTATTGTGGTTGTGTTTGTGTTTTAGGTAAATCACTCTGCTTTGCAATATAAAGGATTTAAAAGATAAAACTAGAGTATCACAATAATCTAGGTGAGAGGTGTTGAGGAATTAAACTGGGGCAATGAGAGTAGGGATTGAGAAACTAAAAATCATCCCAACTAATAATCAGACTGTAATGTACACATACAAGGCCAGGGACAAGGCCAAGCAAAAAATGTTCCTCACAAGGATGCATTACAGCTGTAAAATGACTAATAACCTCTATCTTTTGAGTGATTGAATAGCTTCCTTGGCCTACCTTTGTTCCGTTCTCCTCCAAATTAAAGTTTCTGAGATACTCAATTACTAAACTGCCTTCCTTCCCCTAATCCCTCCTTAGAATTACTCAGCTGAAGCCCAAACTCTGCATAAAACCTCACCCTAATCTCTCTTATACTGACACACTTGGAGCAACACATATGCCCTTCACCCCCAAGTTGACCTTGTCCAGCTCAGTGCATTGGTTGGCTGTGATCTTGAGTAAATTCCTTAATGTCTACTCCTGTTTTCTCATTTGTAAAAATCAAGATAGTAATAATAGTTCCCATCTCATAACCCTTTTATTGTGAAAACTGAGTAAGATAAGCCATGTTATATGCTGATACAGTGCCTAGCAATAGTGAATGCCTCCAAAACTTTAGCTGTTACATCATCTCATCACCATCATCATTAGTGTGAAAACTTCCTGACCCCTCAAGAGGGGATGAGGCGCTGTATGCATTTCCAGTACAAGTATTCCACCTTTTATAACATCTATCATGGTTTACTACACATTGTCACCTTTACCTTTCTGCTTCTTGACTAAATCTTAAACTAAACTCTCTAGTTGGAGGTTTGGCAGTTGTATCCCCAAACTAGAGTGCCCTGGATGGCACAGAATGTTGTAGCTATGCAACTCACCAATTTTGCTGGTCCCTGTGATCAGAATTTACGCTGAGAATTGCTGCCCGTTCTGAAAGCATCAGTGTTTAAGTTGTTGTAACATTTCTTCTGAATCAGACCAGACTTTCACTTCAGAACAATAAGTAACAATTCCTTCTAAGAAATCTCGGCTCACTGCAACCTCCGCCTCCTGGGCTCAAGCGATTCTTCTGCCTCAGCCTCCTGCGTAGCTGGGATTACAGGTGCATGCCACAACCACCTGGCTAATTTTTGTATTTTTTAGTAGAGACGGGGTTTCACCATATTGGCCAGGCTGTTCTCGAACTCTTGACCTCCGGTAATCTGCCCGCCTCGGCCTCCCAAAATGCTGGGATTACAGGCATGAGCCACCGCACCCGGCCATAGATTTTTTAGTGAGTTAGAAATGAATGTAAATTTCCTTTTATAGGAGTTAGACATTTATTTTTAACAATTAACCACTGAATTCATTTTCAGAAATAGGCCTGAATTGCTTGTTAATTTCATTACAGGAAGTAACTCTAAAAGCCAATTCCACTTCCAAACTATAATTACCATCATCTGAATTTAACAGGGAAAGACATCTTCCAAGACTTCTTTTGGGCGGATGCTTAGTTTTAGAATAGCCAACTTTACCCTAACCCATGTACAAGACAGTTCTCCAGGTGGCCTTGGACTGACCCAGTTCTCCCTTCTTCCTTGCTTGTAGTTCTTAAGAATAACTGTAGAATGCACTGGGAATGCAATATCCTGATATGGAGGAACTGCCTGAAACAGGTTGGCCTTGTTGTTGTCCCTCCTAGGGAATGTAACATCTTGATTTAGGGAACTGTTTGAGACAGCGAGGTTGTGTTCCTCTTTCCCCTGGAAGGAGGATGTACTTTAAAGCTTTGCCCAATGAGTTATGTGGCTCCTATGGTATATAACCCAAGGCAGGCTGTGGTGCAAGTGGGGCACGTACAATCAAGACTCCATCAGCCCCGCCCTGGGCAGCTTTCTTGAGCCCTGGGGGACTGGCTCACAATGGAGCCAGGGCCTCTTTTGTCCCTTGCTTCCTGTCTGTAAGTAATAAATCTGCTTCATGTAATGTATTGGGTGTGAGTGTGTTCTGTCACAATGGAATCAGACAGGTTGGTAACCAGTGTACACTGAACCTGCTTGGCACCATGTAGCCCTGGGAAAGGAGAAAGGCGGTCACAGCTTGCCCTATATGGTGATGCCAGCACACTGTGCACTGTACTGTGCAACAGAAAAAGGTGCACTGAGGAGGATCGGCTGCTTCTTCCCATTGTTGCTTCTTTAGTAAATCCCCTATGAGTTTTTAGTCGCTTTCTAATCTACAAGTTAAAGGATATCTCATTAATTTTACAGATATATACATATACTGTAACAATAGGAAGGAAGTCTTTCACCAACCACTAATACTGTAAAGAAAGCATTGTATCGATCTAGTATTATTTAATGAAGACGGACAGCAATTTTAATACAATCTTCTTTTCCAAGACCTTTGACAGACCTTAGGCCCATTTTCCACCTTTATGTCTAGGAAAGTATAAGTAAAACACTTTTGAGGGCATAAAAAACACAAGCTTCTTGTTAAGGTGTATCAGTAGCCAGGGAAATCTGCTGTGCCCCTTTGAGGGTCATCTAACTAAGGCATGGAGAAAGAAACTGCCTCAAGTCAGTTTCTATCACCTCTGCAGGGAAGCTGGCCATGCAAACCAGGACATGGTTCAAAGTGAAAAAGAGTGTGGTTAATAATCATGCCAGAACACCAGGTATAAGATGTAAGGGCAAGTCAGGCATTCTGTACATTGCTTCTCCCTTCAGTTTGGAAAACTCACTGCAGTAGGGTTTTGACTTATCGTTTCACAAGACAGCTAGGAAGGCCAGGCACAGTGGCTCACACCTGTAATCCCAGCACTTTGGGAGGCCAAGACGGGTGGATCACGAGGTCAGATCGAGACCATCCTGGTTAACACGGTGAAACCCTGTCTCTACTTAAAATACAAAAAATAGCCGGGTGTGGTGGCGGGCGCCTGTAGTCCCAGCTACTCAGGAGGCTGAGGCAGGAGAATGGCGTGAACCCGGGAGGCGGAGCTTGCAGTGAGCCGAGATCGCGCCACTGCACTCCAGCCCGGGTGACAGCGCGACTCTGTCTCAAAAAAATAAAAAAAATAAAAAAAAATAAAAAACAAGACAGCTAGGAGGAAAGCCTGTATGCTTTGGAAAATGCATATCTTGTGTGTTTACCCTTTTAAAGGTAACTATACTTTGAAACAGGTGAACTGCAGAAAGTTAACAAAGACTTCTTTTTTTACCATGTTTACCTTTCTAAGAATTCTATGCATTTCCTAGGGCATACATGCAAAAGCCTTCACATTTCCCCCTTTTTAAAAGAGATATTTCTCAAACTTATACGTATACAGTTCAGTAGTGTTAAGTACAATCACACTTGTTTTGCAACAGATCTCTAGAATTCTTGCAACACAAGCTCTGTACCCACTAAATACAAATTCACCCTCTCCCCTTCCCCCAACCGTTGCTTGGCAACCACCTTTCTACTTTCTATTGTATGATTTTGACTACTTTGCATACTTCACATGGAGGAATCATATAGCATTTGTTCTTTTGTTGGCTGGCTTATTTCACTTGGCATAATGCCTTCAAGGTTCATCCACATTGTACATTTGACAGGATTTCCTTCTTTTTAAAGGCTGAATAATATTCCATTGACTGTATATACCACATTTCCTTTATCTATTCATCTGTTGATGGACATTTGGGATGCTTCCAGAACCTCTTGGCTATTGTGAATAATGCTGCTATGAACATGGGTGTACAAATATCTCTTTGAGATCCCGCTTTGGTGGTAATTCTTATGGTAATTCTGTTTTCAGTTATTTGGGAAACCTGTGTACTGTTTTCCGTAATGACTGCACCGTTTTACATTACCACCAACAGTGCACAAGGGTTTCAACTTCTCTGCATCCTCCCCAATACTTGTTATTTTTTTGTTCTTCTGATAGTGGCCATCATGATGGGCGTGAGACGATATCTCATTGTGGTTTTGATTTGCATTTCCCTAATAATTGGCAATGTTGAGCATATTTTCATGTTCTTATTGGCCAATTGTATAACTTCTTTGGAGAAATGTCTGTGCAAGTCCTTTGCCCATTTTTAAAAATTGAGTTATTTGGTTTTTTGTTGTTGAGTTGTAGAAGTTCCTCATATATTCTGGATTTGGGCTCCTTATAAGATAGACGATTTGCAATTATTTTCTCTCATTCTAGAGCTTGCGTTTTCACTTTGTTGATTGCTTCCTTTGACACACAGACATTTTTAAGTTTGATGTAGTCCCGTTTCCTTCCTAACGATCTTTAAGTGTACAGTTCAGTAGTGTTAAGTATATTCATCCAACCCTATCTTGCAGACCAGATGACAAACATATTAATGAAAGAAATACTACCAGTCATTGACGCAACAGAGTCTGAACATAGGCTTAGAGGCATTCAGAAACATTCCAAGATATTTATAAGCAAGAGCCACAGGAGCATGAATTCCTCAGAATATGTAGAATTATCTAGATTTTAGCCTATCTGACAAGTTTCTCTCCCTATTACCATAACAAAAGTCTTTTAAACCACTGTATAAACTGAGATATTTAAGTTAATCACCTGCCTTGCAAAGAACCTTGACTAATGAGTAAATAAAGTTCAGACAGTTGTAAAGGGAAGACGGGATAGCTCTTTCACTGTAGAAAACATTATCATTATATACTATGTAACAGCGTGCAAATAATACAAAATAATAATATAAACTATAGGCTATTAGATTACTAGTCCTTTGAAAAATATTTCTGGAAGGCCGGGCACGGTGGCTCACGCCTGTAATCCCAGCACTTTGGGAGGCCAAGGCGGGTGGATCACCTGAGGTCAGGAGTTCAAGACCAGCCTGGCCAACATAGTGAAACCCCATCTCTACTAAAAATACAAAAATTAGCTGGGCGTGGTGGCATGTGCCTGTAGTCCCAGTTACTCAGGAGGCTGAGGCAGGAGAATCGCTTAAACCCGGGAGGTGGAGGTTGCAGTGAGCCAAGATAGTGCCACTGCACTCCAGCCTGGGGGACAGAGCGAGACTCCATCTCAAAAAAAAAAAAAAAAAAGAAAAGAAAAATATTTCTGGAAATGTGCAATGAAAGAATTCTAAGTTCTAGGCACTTTAAGCATTTTTTCTTTTCTTTTCTTTTTTTTTTTTTATTAGACACAGAGTCTCACTCTGTTGCCCAGGCTGGAGTGCAGTGGTGTGATCTTGGTTCACTACAACCACCACCTCCTGGGTTCAAGCGATTCTCCAGCCTCAGCTTCCCGAGTAGCTGGCATTACAGGTGCTCACCACCATGCCTGGCTAATTTTTTATTTGTAGTAGTGACAGGGTTTCATCATGTTGGCCAGGCTGGTCTCAAACTCCTGACCTCAAGTGAGCTACCCGCCTCAGCCTCCCAAAGTGCTGGGATTACAGGTGTGAGCCACTGTGCCCAGCCAGGCATTTTCTTTAAAATGTTCTGCATATATTTCCTATATGATCAGACCTTTAAGCAAAATATCTGATCTTCGGAAATGCAAAGGGATTTCTGGGTATAGGAAAAGTCTTGTTTTCTTATAATTACAAAATATATTTTCTACATCATAAACTGATAGTAAGTAAGCATATCATGTCCTTGTAACAACTAAACACTGGGGCAAATATACTGACTGATAAGCCCTTATGAAAGAATACACATTCATGTTATAAAATAAAATACATCTAAAACCATGGCCAATATTCAGCCAGGAAGTACCAGTCTGGGCCCATAGGCTGTTTCTGCAAGGCCTGAGTTCTGGTCAGTGTCTGTGCCTTACCACATGTTAAAAATTTTGATTATAATCCCTATGTATAGTGCTATAGAACCACTAATGGATAAACATAAAAAGATAGCTCAAAAATGTCAGACATAAAAAGATATTACAAGCTGGGCCAGGCGGCCAGCACCTGTAGCCCCAGCTACTCTAGAGGCTAAGGCAGGAGGACTGCTTGAGCCTAGGAGTTCAAGGCTGCAGTGAGCTATCATTTGGCCACTGCACTCTAGCCTGGGCAGCAGAGCAAGACCTAGTCTCTTAAAGAAAAAAAAAAGGCATTACAATTACCAACAGGTATCTGTAAGAGAAACTTGTGTCTCTTGCTGGTACCGAATAGCCTTCCTCAAAGACTGATGAAGCACTCTCATGCTAAGAAATGCACATCTGTAAATATTATCAAATGCAGGCACTTAGAATAGTCTAGTTAACAATTTATAGTAAGCTAGTATATATTAAAGCAAAAGCAAAATACTGCCTAGATATGAATGTTTTAGGGGGTTGCTTGGCTGGTGGCCGGCTTGGGTTTCGCTTGTACATTCAGCACATAATCATGCCGGAAGGATGAACGAACAGTGCGATTCATCAGTGGCTGAAGGGGGCGGAAGTTGTCCACCATTCTTTTCTCTTTCTCCCCTTCGGAAGTGAAAAGCAGGGTCCGAAATTGCTCAAGCTAGAAATAGAAACAGAAAGCATAAATAATTTCAACAGAAAACTCGCTTTACCTCGTGAATAAATTACTTTCATTTTTACAATTCTGAGCATTCGTTGCAAATTAGATACAGAAGGAGAAGTTATTTCTGGGTAAGAACGCCTTCACCACTTGACAGGGAATAAAATGCCCAGTGGTGGTGGTGATCCTGATGGTGGTCCTGTGGGGAGGAGAGCAGCAAGAGGTGGTGAAACCAGGAGGGCACTTGGGATCCAAAGACTTGGGGCAAAGGCCCTGTCCCCACATATTATCCATTTACCAAGGATGAGTTAATTCATCTCTTTCATTCTCAAGAACTTCCTCTTTAAATGAGCAAAACAGCCAGCTTACAGAATGAGAAAGGAAAGCCCTGATGCATATACTAACAACACCAAAAAAAGTGGGTTTATAAAACAATTTAACTGAATCATGAACATAAAATAAGTATTATTGATTGCTCACTGCACCTGGGTATTGTGGGCAAAGCAATGAATATAAACGTCTTTTTTTTTTCCTTTTCTTTCTTTCTTTTTTTTTTTGTTTTTTTTAAAGACAAAGTCTTACTCTGTCACCCACCCAGGTTAGAATGCAGTGGTGTGATCATGATTCACTGCAGGCTCAACCTCTGGGACTCAGGTGATCTCCCACCTCAGCCTCCCAAGTAGCTGGGATTATAGGCACATGCTGCCACACCCAGCTAATTTTTTAATTTTTTGTAGAGACAGGGTCTTGCTATGTTCAGCCCAGGCTGGTCTTGAACTCCTGGCCTCAAGTGATCCTCCCAGCTAGGTCTCCCAAAGTGCTGGGATTACAGGTGTGAGCTACCACACCAGGCTGCATGTAGGTGTCTTAACTGGAGACAGGATGCTCTATGCTGGTGCTGTCCAATAGAACTTTCTGCAATGACGGAAATGTCCTCTGCACGGTCCATTACGGTAGTCACAAGCCACATGTGGCTACTGGGCACTTGAAATGTGGCCAGTGTAACTGAGGAACTGAATTTTATTTTTAATGTATTTATATTTAAATGTAAATGGTTACATGTGTCCAGTGGTTACAATATTAGACAATACAACTCAATGCAAAAGGAGCAACCCAGAATATCAACGGCTTGTTCTCTGATGTGGCTGCAGTATCAACCAGTAGCCCCTTGGTTTCAGACCCAATTGTGTTATGAAATACTTTACTTAGGCCGGGCGTGGTGGCCTACATTTGTAATCCCAGCACTTTGGGAGGCCGAGGCGGGTGGCTCACCTGAGGTCAGAAGTTCGAGACCAGCCTGACTAACATGGTGAAACCCTGTCTCTACTAAAATTACAAAATTAGCTGGGCGTGGTGGCTCATGCCTGTAATCCCAGCTACTGAGCCCAGGAGGTGGAGGTTGCAGTGAGCCGAGATCGCGCCACTGGACTCTCACCTGGGCACGCGCCACTGGACTCTCACCTGGGCAACGAGAGTGAAACTCCATGTCAAAAAAAAAAAAAAGAAAACAAAATACTTTACTTCAGGCCAGCAGGAAAATCCATTCACATTTCCCCTCATTCAATCTGCCTCATTGTAACAACTGAGAAGACAGCCTGGGGCACAGTAGACAAGCAAGCGAAGAGTCATTTGCAACAAAGACTTCAGGGCAAATAGAGCTGAAGAGGCAGAACTACGACTGAAAGCAAGCAATGAACATATCACACAGCGGCTGCACATGCAAATTACACAAAAGCCCTCACTAATTAGAAAGCTGTACAAGTAGCTAATGTTTCTTTTTATTCAGCTAATTGCAGAAGATTAGAAATAGTCTAAGTATCAAAGATAAATGACATCTGATCTATGAAATGAACTAGTATATAGTCCTTAAAAATAATACTGAAGATGTTCATTATCTATAAAATGTTCCATGCAGCTGGGTGGGGTGGCTCACACCTGTAATCCCAGCACTTTGGGAGGCCGAGGCGGGTGGATCACGAGGTCAGGAGTTCGAGACCAGCCTGGCCAACACAGTGAAACCCCATTTCTACTAAAAATACAAAAAATTAGCCAGGCGTGGTGGCGGGCGCCTGTAATCCCAGCTACTTGGGAGGCTGAGACAGGAGAATTGCTTGAACGTGCAAGGCAGAGGTTGCAGTGAGCCGAGATCGTGCCACTGCACTCCAGCCCAGGCAACAGCTAGAGACCGTCTTAAAAAAAAAAAAAAATGTTCCAGGCATCACTGAGTGAAAAGAGCAGCAAAATGGTATGTACAGAATGATTCCATTTTCATACAAAAATTGTGTATATTTATATAGATAAAAGACCATAAGGACTTATGTGCATCTGGACAGACAAGAGACCAGAAGGATTTCCCCAAACAATGATAGTGGTAAAATTATAGGCAACTAGGATAATATTATAGATGACAGGTAGCACTGTTTTCCTTACTAAATTTTCAGTGTTACCGTAAGTTTTATATTAAATTACATTCTAGAAGTAGCCAGTACAGTTAGACCAGAAAATAAAATTTTAAATTATATAATTGAAAAATAAATTTTAAAATTTTGTTGAAATCGTATTTACAAAGTCCTCACATGGGCCACTGACCCTCTGATGTATTTGCTTTATTTGTTTTTCAATGTTATGTCCATTTGTTTTTCTAGAAGGAATATAAGTCAAGGAAATGTGTCAATTTTTTAATCCAAAGAATAGAAACAGACTAAATGTATAGGCCACAAAGCCTATACATTTGCAGGCATAAAAGGATTTTCCTATGCTTATCCTAGTACTTTCATGGTGGTAGTTTTTACATGTAATATATCTGGAATGTATTCCTGTGTAAGGTCTGAATGATGGATCCAATTTTTTTCCCCCAAATGCCTGCTCAATTATTCCTCAACAGCATTTACCAAATACTGAATACTCTATCTTTCCTGCCTACTGAGTTGAGATGCTATATTTATCATAAAATAAATTCTCATATGTATTTGGATATATTTCTGAAATTATTATTTTCTTCCTGTGATGGTTAATTTTATGTGTCAACTTGATTGGGTCATGGGATGCACAGACAGGTTAAATACTGTGTCTATGTATGTCTATGAAGGTGTTTCTGGAGGAGATTAGGATTTAAATTGGTAGACTGAGTAAAGTGAATGGCCCTCCCTAAAGTAGATGGGAGTCATCCAATAAACTGAGGGTCTGAATAGAACAAAAAGGCAGAGGAAGGCTGAATTTGCTCTGATTGCTTGAGCTGGAACATCAATCGTCTCCTTTCTTCGGAGCTCCTGGTTCTCAGGCTTTCAGACCAAGATAGAAATCTACATTATCAGCTCTCCAGCTCTCAGGCCTTTGAACTACACCACTGTCTTTCCTGGGTCTCCAGCTTGCAGATGGCAGATTGTAAGACTTCTTAGTCTCCATAATCACATAGCCAATACCTTATGATACAACTTTATCTATCTTTTTCTTTATTTATCTTTATAGGGTTATAGAGTTAAGGTTATTTAACCTTTATAGGGTTATTTATCTAACTTTGTCTTTCTTAATTTTTTTTATCTTTATCTATATCTGGTGTGGTTTGGCCCTGTGTCCCTACCCAAATCTCACGTCGAATTGTAATCCCCCTGTGTCAGGGGAGGGGATCATGAGGGTGGATTTCCTCCTTACTGTTCTCGTGATAGTGAAAGAGTTCTCATGAGATCTGACGGTTTAAAAGTGTGTGGCACTTCCCCCATCTCTCTCTCTCTCTTCTGCCACCATGTGAAGAAGGTCCTTGCTTCCCTTTTGCCTTCTGCCATGATTTTAAGTTTCCTGAGGCCTCCCAGTCATGCTTCCTGTTAAGCCTGTGGAACTATGAGTCAATTAAACCTCCTTTCTTCATAAATTACCCAGTTTCAGGTAGTTCTTTATAGGAGTGTGAAAATGGACTAATACAATATATATCCTATTGGTTCTGTTTCTCTGGAGAACGCTAATATACTTCCCTTGATTGATCTCTTTATCCATGTGCCAGGAACACGCTATTTAATTATTGAGGCTTTATAACTTTGTGAGTCTAATTATCCCGTATTTTTCTAGAATTTTCCCTGGCTATTTATGTGTTTGTCTTTATTCATGAGTTTAGAAATAGCATATCAATTTAAAAATCCTATTGGCATATTTATTGGGAATACATAAATTTATGGTGAATAAATAATTCATGGAGAATGACAACTTAGGTTGTCATTTATGACAAAAAAAGGTGTTTTTATGTCTTTTGATCCTATAATGTGTTAACTTTATTAATTCAAGCCTTCTTTTGTATCCTCCAGGAACATTTTAAGTTTTCTTATTAGCTTTCCTTGTTAAAATTATTCCGAAGTATTTTATATTTTTGTTTCCATTATAAATAGGAGCCTTTCTTACATTATATCTTTATATCATATCTTTTAGCTGATTGTGATTTATATATGTCAAATGTATTGATTTCTAGAAATTGATATTGTATTCCACTGATTACCAAATTATCTCTGATTTTTGTAGTCGTTTTTTATTGTTTCTCTAATTTATTTTTTATTTTCCAGTCTAACTGTACTGGCTACTTCCAGAATGTAATTTAATATAAAACTTAATACGGTAACAATCCTTTCCATTCAAAACCTACTATTTGCTTTTGAACTGAGATCAATCTCTTTTATCAAGATAGGGAAGTCTCTATTCAGCTCTGTTTTATTAAAAATTTTCAAAAACTGAATGGTGATTTTTACAAATGTCTTTTTAACTTCCCTGGAAATGATAATATGATTTTTCTATTTAGATCCACTGATAGAATGAATTACATTAATATCATTCTTAACATGAACCATACTTGTATTACTGGAGTAAAAGCTACTTGGACAAAGTGTATATTTCTTCTGATGTACTGCTGGATTCTGTTTCTAATATTTTCTTTTTAGCTTTTTTTTCTTTTATATTCTTCAGAGGGGGGTCCAATCTTTGGTGAGTGTTGGTATCAGTTATGCTGGCTTCATAAAAAGAATTTGGAAGCTTTTTTTCTTATGAAAATGCTTTATAATCAATAAAAATCCCATAAAACAAGTATGAGTAAATATTATTGTAGTTTATATTATACATTATACAGGATTTTGAGTGTTTGCATAGTAAATACTACTTAGACTTAGTTTCTAAGGGAAAAATAGATCCCAAATTCAAAAAATGGACTTACATTAAAGTTTCTGGACAAACATTGTTGAATTCTGTATTTATCCTGAGATTCCATAGCAGAATTCCCTTAAGGATTTTAAACAGTTTTGAACACATTCATTTCCAGCCTTCACTCTTCCCTTTAAAAGGGTCTTGATTTTGTATAGAGTTTAATATTTATATATAAAATACACAAGGCATAAGAAGACATATGTAATTGTCAAATATAAATGTAAAAAACTTATGTTCTTCTGTGTTTTAACTCTTCTCTCTAGTTAATTTGAAACATCCCCAAATTCATGTCCAAACTGAGACAAGACGTTGGTACACTTCAATAAAAATGTATAAGCATTACAAGATGTTAAAACTGATGCCACAGTCTGAGCCCAGCCTTGTTTTACATGGGCAGACAAGGATTTCCTTAGATTGAAATTATGGAGAGAACATACCTGATCATGATCAACCTCTACTGGTTGCTTCTTAATGATCCAGGTGACAGACTCGGAGAGGGGTGGGGTAGTCAGAGACCCTGAGTAGGTCCAGTAATCTGGGCAGGTAGGCATCAGGCAGGAAGGGTCAAATGACCCAAATTCCACAAGGGCGTCCTGGCCAAGAGAAGAGATAACCGAGTCATTATTTAGTAGTGAAAACCACTCAGGAATTGGACGCCGAGGTGACGGTTCTCAGGGAGTATCTGGAGATCAGCAGTGGTCCAGAGCAGCTCCAGGCCTTTCTGGGCAGCTACCTGAAGAATCGCTGCTTAGGATGGTATCATGCCTGGCTTTGTTTCTGGAATTAACTGTGCATTTTTTATATTCCCCTGTGGGAAAACGGCCAAAACCACTTGATCTCTCAATTCTAGTGAGGTTCCAGCAGGTAGTCTCCTCTGAGTTTTGTTGAGAGGTTTTAGACAGCGGCCAGTGCATAAAGAAAGAGGCTTTGCATTTTCTTTTCTTTTTTCTTTTTTTTTTTTTTTTTTTGAGACAGAGTCTCGCTCTGTCGCCCAGGCTAGAGTGCAGTGGTGCAATCTCGGCTCACTGCAAGCTCCGCCTCCCGGGTTCACGCCATTCTCCTGCCTCAGCCTCCCAAGTAGCTGGGACTACAGGCGCCCGCCACCATGCCCGGCGAATTTTTTGTATTTTTTAGGAGAGATGGGGTTTCACTGTGTTAGCCAGGACAGTCTCGATCTCCTGACCTCGTGATCCGCCAGCCTCGGCCTCCCAAAGTGCTGTGATTACAGGCGTGAGCCACTGCGCCCGGTTGGAGGCTTTGCATTTTCGAGAGGCTAACTGAGAATTGTCCTTTTAAGAAGAAATGCAGCTCAGGAGGAGCCAGAAACCTGAACTAAAAGGAAAGAGAGGGAAAAACAGGAAAATGGAGATGAGAGGAGAGGGAAAGAGGTAGGGACCAGAAGGTCAGAGTGGGGGATGGGGGGAGATAATATACGGGCTTCCAGAGAGGAAAGGAGAGGGAAAGAGGTGGGGACCAGAGGGATACAGTGGGGGATGAGAGGGAGAAGAAGAGAATATATGGGCCTCCAGAGAGCAGCCCTTTGAGATTCTGAATATTGAAGAATTAATATTGGGGGACTGGACAAAGGCATCCGACCTGAAGGATGTGGATTACTGTTCTTTCTAGCTGGACAAGGCAAGTTTCTGTAGAACTGCGCTCTGCTCCCTGCCTGTGGGATGGCAGCTACAGAACAGAAGGCTGCTCTGGGTGTGTTCACAAGGACTTAGAAGGAGCCGGTGTCAGGAACAGAGGAGGGGACAGCAATATGTTCCTGAGTCCCCAAGTCCTCAGCGGCACTGCAGCAAAACCAGAAAGCTCACTGCCTACCCACAGAATGATGACTTCTGTCCCCTGGAATCATAAATGGCAAGTTTTCTTCTAAGGCTGAATACAGTTCACCTAATTAAACTTCCCAATTCAAAGTGCCTTGGTAATGTCTCCGCTCTGAGATTGAAACATAAAAGTATATTTCAAGTAATTAAGGAAAACAAATAGTACCTTATGCTTAATTGACGGCAAAGTATCCACTAATTTCTGTAGCTCCTTATGATGTTTGCCTAGCTAAAGAACAACAAGTAAGAAAATATTACAAACAATGGACATCTCACTGTAGAAACTGTAACAGAATGTGAATTAAAATTAACTACCTGGTGATTACATAAAAACAAACTGCATGACTGAAATTACACTTAAACTTGTAATTTATAATTTTATAAACATTACTGAATTAAATTAGAGAACAAATCAGCAGGCTGTTTGCTGACAAGGTCAGCATGCCTGCAGTGAAAGGTGCCCCCTGCTTCATTTAAGTTCTTAAATTGAAATTAAAATTAAATAAAATGAAAAATGGTTCCAGAACTGCAGTAGACACATTTCAAGTGCTCAATTGCCACATGTGGCTTGTGACCACTCTATTGGGCTGTGCATTTTTATATCATTTAAAATATATATATTTTTTTGGTGGTGGGGGGGATGGAGTCTCGCTCTGTTGCCCAGGCTGGAGTGCAGTGGCACAATCTTGGCTTACTGCAGCCTCCACCTCCCAGGCTCAAGCAAGCGATCCTCCTGCCTCAGCCTCCCGAGTAGCTAGGATTACAGGTGCGCACCACTATGCCTGGCTAATTTTTGTATTTTTAGTAGAAACAGGGTTTCCCCATGGAAGCCAGGCTGGTCTCGAACTCCTGACCTCAAGTGATCTGCCTGCCTCGGCCTCCCAAAGTGCTGGGATTACAGGCGTGAGCCACCATGCCTGGCCCTAAAATATATTCTTAACAATCCTGTACTTCAAGCACTATTTATCTTACCAATGTATGGATCCCAACATTCTTAAAGTAAATAACAATATTATACTGTTCTATCTTTTCATCCTAGAATACAACACGTCATTTAAAGTTGGTGAGATATTTTACCTTTAAAAATACTCCTATCACAGCCAAACCATTTTCTTCCAGTGCTGCATCCTCAAAGTTTTCAAATCTGACTGCGTTCCAATGCACTAAGTGCAGCTGAAACACCATGAAAAGAGGGTTAACACGTGACTATACAGAATCTCTCCAGAATAAACCCACAGCCTCAGTCAACCTATGACATTTAAACATGTTTCCTCACCCAAAGTAAAGCCACCAAGAAAACCATATGACAATCCAAAATGAGATAGAAACAAAGATCAGGAAGAAATTTAGGCAAGAGCAGCAATTAATATTATTTTAGAATAAAGGGATTTATTTGGGGAGAAAAATAGAAAATTCATATAACAAAGTGACACTTCAGTGAGCAATCAACATTTGTCCAGTCCCATCTTGATTTGAATGAAATACCAATATTCGAAATCCACTTGCATCTACAGGAGAGAAGATGTTTATATTGAGAGAAATAGATCCTCCATATGGAAATTATGCAGGAGTTAAAGACAAATTTCTTCTTCAAGGAATAACCATTTAAAATGTGCTTTTAGG